>NC_000006.12:99616244-99767759 GCF_000001405.40 Homo sapiens
ATATAATTTTGTTGACTAAAATTGGAAAGCACCCATCTTCCTCCCCATATACACTCTGGGGAGGATTTCACTGTAGAAAGTGGAGGATCAGTCAACCTCTTAGCTAAGGGCAGGTACCCGAAGGGCCCATGTCTGCAGCACTTTTCAGAGATCAGTTTGAAGATTCTGGCGAGTCACCCAAGGGTCTGGATGTGACTCTGATAATTTAACTCAGTTAAAAATGCCCATTATTTTCTGAATCCTGAATGATTTGCAAGTCTTCACCTTTCTTCCTGTTGGCAACACTGCTTTAGTCAGCCGGTGGCTGGCAGGAACATTTTCTGGCACATCACAGCAGGGGGGCATGGATAGGGGAGGGCATGTGATTTCTATTGGTGGTGATCTGCAAGATTTCTTCTATGAGAAAATGTATGCTAGGAATTATAGGTTTTTAGTGTCAGCTGACCAGAAAATGTTTCACTTTGTAAAAGAAAGCTAACAGAGAGAGAGAGAAAAAAAAACTATCAACATGTAAATATGGTGACAAAGATACTACCATTTATTGAGGACCTATACTGTGCCAGGTTCTTATGCAACTTGCAGCTCTTTCCTTTCCATGGAGGAGGACCATCAGCTTGCCCCACCAGGTTCACAGTTCATCACACAGAACTAGAAGTGAATTAAAGCATCTGCCTGCTAAATCACCTCCAAGAGCCCAGAGCTTCTTGCTGCCTGCTTAGTATTGTGGTCCTGCCCTTAGAAGCAATTATTGCTTCAAACCAAATCGTCCACTATAGAAGAATATTGGAAAAGCTTTTCTGAAATCAGAGCATATGAGTTCTTAAGGAAAGTGACAAAGGCTGCCCAGATTTGAAACATGGGAAACATTTTATCAGCTATAACAGTATTGCCCCCTTCTCCCATTTTCTGGCTCAGTACCAACTCCTGTAACTTCTGAAAATAGCTCATAAAAATAAATTAAAAATAAGCCGGTGGCAGTGGCTCATGTCTGTAGTTTCAGCAACTCAGGAGGCTGAGGCAGAAGGCTAGCTTAAGCCCAGGAATTCAAGGCTGCAGTGTGCTATGATCATGTCTGTGAATAACTACTGCACTCCAGCCTGGGCAACATAGTGAGACCCCATCTCAAAAAATAAACCTAAAATTAGTTTGGTTAAAGGATATACATTTAGAATTTAATAAAACAAAGGACCCAGTATTCTGTTTCCCCTTTGTGAATTGATATCTTCTAGACGTTGTTAAAATAGATTCCAATACAAAAAAATTGAACAAAGTGTCTCTTAATCAAAAGTCATGTGTAATTCTCCATAGGTTGCCTCAATAACCCATGTATTTGTTCATGTATGTGCATAATATCATACATAATGCCATTATTCATTTTAATGACAAAGTCATATCAGTGATATACAATCAGGAACAATAACATTGTTTATTTTAAGTGCCTCAGTTGAATTAGTGTTTCTCAGATTATTTCTTTCTGTTTCCTATCCCCTTCTCTCTTCTCCCTGCCACCCACCATTCAACTCTTCTTATCTTGGTGACCACAACTAACTTTGAGGGTTATGCTAATGCCACTGGAAGTTTCTGGGATTCTAACTGAATATTTTGTACCAAAAATTTTTTTTAAAAGATAGGAGGTGTATTCATTTTCTTTAGAAGTGAAAGACTCTAGATTGCTTGAACCTAGTTAGTTTGGGCATTAAACTGTTTTGTTAACCTAAATACCTCAGACAGACCTGGGTTCTAGTCCTGCCTCTGTCACTTAGTAGCTTTGCATCTTGGGCCAGTTTCTCTATTGCCTCAATTTCCTCACTTGTAAAAATAGGGCGAAATAAGCAATAGGATAGTTGTGAACATCAAATGAGTTAACGCAGGCCAGCAGCTCAGATCACACCTGACGCATAGTGAGCTATCAAACGATATATATATTTTTAAAAAACCCTAAATTCTAGCAACTCTTTGTGTTTTCATTTCGAAGATATCAACCTAAGGAGATAAGGGTTGATAGCCTTGTATAACACTAGCATCTTTTTGCAGAACACTCTCCTCTTGGTTCACTTCTAGCCCCCAACTCACATCAGCTTCAGTAAATAAAGGCTTTCCATGCTTTTGCTAAGGAAAGACTTCTTCAGACCTCTTCCTTCTCAGGCCATCTTTCCATTTTAAGCTGAGACAAAGGTTCGAATAGTTCATAGAGGTCAATTGCGTGGTAAAAATAATTCTCGTTTGTTTTCACTAATTTTTGAAAAGCTTGGCTGGGCATTGAGGGATGAGCTTAAGCAGAAGAACGCAGCGGAGGTGAGCGCGCGTGCATGTCTTCCTGAGCCGAGCATAAGCCGCAATTCCGCAGGACTCTACTCAGGGAAAAGTATATTTGACGTCTAGACTCTGAGGGAAGGACGGGAGTGGCTAGAACTACCGTTTGGCGGAGTTACGGGAGTAGTGATAACACTGCTGGTGGGGTTCCAGAGCCGAGAGGGCGGTGATTGGTTGAGCCGCGTTACTCCGAGCGCTCCCATTGGTGCATTCCTTGGAGCCAGGGTTGCTATTGGTGGCGAGCTGGCCGCGGCGAAAGAACCCCGGCCGCTTGGGCTAGTGCGGCGGCGGCCAGGCGGAGCCGGAGGTGAGAGTGCGAGCAGCGTCCTGTGGCGTGGCGACCCCTGGGCTCACAGCCTCGCGCTCCCTGGGCTCACAGCCTCGGGCTCCCTGGACTCACAGCCTCGCCCTCCCTGGGCTCACAGCCTCGCGCTCCCTGGGCTCACAGCCTCGCGCTCCCTGGGAATAGGGGTTTCTGGGGTCTTGTTGGGGCAGAGGTGCGGGAGTCTCGCCGCGTTTAGGTGGACAGTCCAGGAGTCCTGCTGGAGAGGAGGACCTGGGAAGACCCGCGATGCCGGCAGGAGGACGGGAGAGTTTCAGGCGTAACTGGTCTTTGTGGAAACCGCCCGACCCCGCTGTGGAGGGGAGCTGCGGCACCCGCGCCGTGCGCTCTCGCCATCTGCCGCCTTCCCAACGGGAAGAGGGCAGAGGCGCCGGCGCCATCGCGAGGTCAAGCGTGACCCTTGGCCACCCAGGTGTGAGTTGTGAAGAGGAGGACTCATCAGACGGCTGGGCCAACGTGTTTAGTTCCAGAAGGAGCGTGGCGCTCGCTCTGGGCTCGGCGACCTCCCTACAAAAGATGAAAGGAGGGCTTCTGTCATATGCGACTGTAGTTTAATTCAAATTAAGCCGTTGTACCACAGACAACTTGTTAATGCCTTTAGCTTGCAAACCCTCCAAGAGTCCTTCAAAAAGGGACCGAAAGTGGGTGGACTACACATATGCATGTAACCCCTCTGAAGGCACTAGCTTTATTTCAAGTACATTTTAATTATTTAAAGTTTAACGTTTCATGTAAATGGCCAATAAAGACGAAATCATGAGTTCATTAAAGAATATAAAAGTCAGATTTTTTGGTAATTTGAGTTAAACAGATTAAGAGAAATGTTTTCAAGTAGAGTGAGGAAACTACTAAAAATGAAATAAATATCCAAACATCATGAGCGTTCTCTACTTTTTTTCTATCCATATATACTTTTGCATAATTTGATATTGCAGGAAATGGCTGCAAATACAAATTTTCTATTCTTAATGCTGGTAGTGCAGCAGTTTTCCTGAAAGTTACTTTAAGTAGAGAATGACTTTCATGGCAAGTTGTATTTGAGTGGGAGACACTTAAATCTAGTGATTTGAGTAGAAAGCCTTAGGTGGAAATGTCTTATGTGACAGGAGATATAGTGGAGATAGATGCAATAGCAGATGGCTTTACATAACAGCGAAGGTCAAAGATTGTTTTTAATCTTGTTTAAATCCCTGGAAAAAAAAGGCAGAGAGATAAGATTCTGTACTTGACACTGAGCAGTGGATTCCTGAATTGTCACCTTAAGGGAAATGGAGACGTGACCAGGTCGGATTCAAGCTCTCTTGAGGGCATTGGACTGTAGCAGCACACATCTGTGAGCAGCAAAATGCTTTCAGGTATGCTAAAAGTCAATCCAATGAGAAACAAGTCAATGTAGGATGTCGCATTTTATAAGCTTATTTGTGATTTTTCAGAAAGCAAGAGAAAGAAATGCCTTAGCAACCAAGAGGATGTAGAGAAAAGAAAATACATCAGAGGGTTTATGGGATAGGCTTTCGGAATTATTTAAAGCTAACATGCTGAAATGTGATCTCAGGGTACTGGCATTGCCATCTATAGGTGCTTGTATATATACTATGCCCTACATTGGTTTCTAAATCAATTTGTTTATTATTGTATTGAATTAGTAGTTTGAGACTTCATGATATTTATATGGGCCAATATTCTCATAAAGTGGAAAAAAAATAGCTTCGCCTCAAGATTTCCTTGACATCACTCATTTAATTAAATCTTTATTATCTCATTTAATCTTTATAACAATCTATTTAATAGATAAGGGAAATGGGGCTTGTTTCAATACCAAGCTAGAAGTATTCCTAAGATTCATTCCTAAGCCTACTGACTCCACTACACAGCCTTATTCTCAACATACTATTAATGTATGCCCTCTTGTTCTATTCATTTATTTATTTATTTAGGGCTTTATTGTTGTTGTTGTTTGTTTTTGAGATGGGTTCTCAATATGTTGCCTAGGCTGGTATGGAACTCCTGGGTTTGAGCCATCCTCTGGCCTCAGCCTTCTGAGTAGCTGAGATTACAAGCACATGCTGCCACACCCTGCCATATGACCTCTTTAAAACAGTGTCACCTGATGAAAGAGGTTTCCAGAAATTCGATCTGAATCCTTTGTAACTAGATCCAATGAATGTTTTACAGGGTGATGATGAGGTGAGCTGAAAGATAAGTGGGTCCCCAGGCTTTTTAGCTGGAACCAGAGTTAAGTTAGAGACCATCTTTGGCTTGTTATGTATTTGAAGACATTTGAATTCTGGTAAGTCCCTGCAAGGCTGTGTCCTATCTAGTCTAGGCTTACTTGGTTTTATTAAACAAGAAGATGTGTATAAGGATAGATTTAAAATGGCCCACCTGTGATCCTGAGGACCCTAGGAAGGAAGGTGTAATAGTTGGATTCTGTTGAGAATTTCAGGACTATGGTGCACAGCCAGAGAATCACTGAATTCCCAAGTCAGTACCTAAAAAAGTTCCCAGTTTCCTAGCATCCCATGGTATTGGAGATCATTTGTGGTGTGGTTCATTCAACGTTCAAACTCTTTTCACATGTAGCAGGCTATATTCCTGGAAATCTGGGCCAGGCAGGGGGCAGAGGTGGGGCTGGGGTGGTCTGAAGCTGCTCTATTGATGACAGAGCTGAGGGTGATCAGAAAGAGGGAAATACAAGGGCAAACTCAAAACAGAATGCTAGGCACATTGTCATCAGGAAAAAGTCGGGCTGAGGGAGAATCCCTGCAGACACAAGGTTGCAGAATGGAGCCAAACTTAAATAAGATGATTGAGATGCTCAGGTGAGGTGGTTCATGCCCATAATTCCAGCACTTTGGGAGGCCAAGGCAGAAAGATCACTCTGAGGCCAGGAGATCAAGACCAACCTTGGCAACATAACGAGACTCCTGTATCTACCAAAAAAAAAAAAAAAAAAAAAAAAAAGGTAGGTTTTGCATTCTAAATAAGAAATATACTCAATTTTCAAAGAACAAAACTGTCTAAATAGGTATCTATCTAGGAGTCTTAATCCAATCTCATTTCTGTGCACTTCTGTCAGCTCATAGGTAATCAACCACGGGTAGAGGTACCACGAAGCTCACTGGCGTGAAATCCTTATATAAGACCTTGATATGGTCTGGCTGTGTTCCAGCCAAATCTCAACTTGAATTGTGTCTGCCAGAATTCCCAAGTGTTGTAGGAGGGACCCAGGGGGAGGTAATTGAATCATGGGGGCCGGTCTTTCCCATGCTATTCTCATGATACTGAATAAGTTTCAAGAGAGCTGATGGTTTATCAGGGGTTTCCGCTTTTGCTTCTTCCTCATTTTTTCTCTTGCTGCTGCCATGTAAGAAGTGCCTTTTGCCTCCCACCATGATTCTGAGGCTTCCTCAGCCATGTGGAACTGTAAGTCCAATTAAACCTCTTTTTCTTCCCAGTCTCAGGTATCAGCAGCATGAAAATGGACAAATACAGACCAGTACCTAATTCTGTGTTTTATTTCTTAAAGTAGATCCCCCAAATTCTATGAATTTCAAAACCAAAAAATCTTGATCTATACTTGTAATCACTTATTTTAGTTTCTTGTATACATCTAGTTTTCTTTTTGTAAATACAAATATCCAAGAATGAATGTATTTTTATTTTCTTCCCTGTCTTAAATATTTAATATTCACTCTTCTGTATCCTGCTTTTTATTCAAATTAATATACTGTGGAGAAATTTTCCATGATAATTCAAAGAGAGCCTCCTCACTTTTTTTTTCTTTTATTGCTACATAGTACTCTATTGTGTAGATGTAGAAAGACAGATTTAACCAATTCTCCTGTTGATGACCTTTGGGTTGTTTTCAATCTTTTATTACCTTAAAGACACTTCAATGAATAACTTGTGTTAAGTGATTTTGTAGGTGGGCTGCAGGTGTGTTTCATAAGGTGCTACTGCTTTGATTGCAGTGAGGAAAGAGCTATTGAGGATGCTGAGCTGGCCAGGACAGTGTCAGAATCAGACCAGCGTCTGGGAGAGGGATGATTGGCTGACTGTTCAACTGGTCCTTCTCTCCATAGTTGGAAAACTCAGAGTTACCTTTAGCTCTTGATCATACTCTGTACATAGGGAGACAACAATGGGGCCTCCACCCCATTCTTTTGTTCTCTTGGGAATTTGGCAAAGGATCCTTGGGAGGCCTTAGCTATAGAACTGTACCTCTCCAGGCCTAGCAATATAGAAATCCTAATGTTGGGCTCACATGGGAAAAGAGTATGTTTGCATGCACATGCATTTGAACTTTTAGTTTTTTCCTGTGAACACTATCACCAAATTTTGATTTCCCAATGATGCATATTATTTAAAAATACCTTATGTAAAACCGTCTTTGGGATTATGATTCAGACTTGTAACTGGATGACTAGAGCCTGAGCCTATGGTAAGTAGCAGGTACTGAGCACAACCCACACCAGCTGTAGAATAGTGACAAGCACTCCAGTAGGGAAAAAAACAAATGCAAATGAGATGTACTTGGCCATGGAACAAAGATGAAAATGACATTCACTTGTAAATGAGTTTTCTGTGTTTGATGTAAACAGAATGACATGTATTTTGCAGGAAGACCTCTATGACCTTCGGACAGTTGTTGAGTTCATTACATGTAGCTGCACATGTTTCTGACATTTCATTATTATTAATGTATCTCATGATCTAACCGTCTCTAGGTTTTTAATTTATTTAGAAGCATTTCCACAATTTTCTGTCCTAGGAGATGATCTTAGAGTTAAGGTGAGATGCTCATCATTGAAAGGTTAAATGCCCTGGAACACAGCTTGAATCTGACACTTTGCTCTTGGATAAGGAAACAGCTGATCTGATAGAATTCAAGAGCAAGAGGAAGACAATCAACTTCTCAGCTTTGCCATTTATAGCTAACCATGGTCCCCAGCCTAAGCATTTGCTCAAACATTAGATTTAGATTATTGATATGTGGCTTTGCTTTCTGAGCCTTGTACATCTTTCGACCCCATTTAAAATCTTCTCTTTTCTCTATAGCCTTCCCTGACTGTCCCAGCCCAAAACTTTAATACATACATTAGACATAGTAGATACTCAACAAATAGTTGAGAATTAGTTGATTAAACATTCTTTATTTCTTACTCTGAACATTGATGAAGCACTGAGAGCCCACTACATGCCAGGCACAGCACTGGCTGGGGACATATGGATGATTAAGATGGTCTCAAGCCAGGTGCAGTGGCTCACGTCTGTAATCCCAGCACTTTGGGAGGCCAAGATGGGCTGATCCATTGAGCTCAGGAGTGTGAGACCAGCCTGGGCAACATGGCAAGAACCCATCTTTATCAAAAATAGAAAAAGTCGGGCATGGTTGTGTGTGCCTGTGGTGCCAGCTACTCAGGAGGCTGAGGTGGGAGGATTGCTTCAGCCCAGGAGGCAGAGGTCTCACTCTAGCCTGGGTGGCAGAGTGAGACCCTGTCTAAAAACAAAACAAAACACAAAACAAAACAGAAAGATTGTCTCAAGCTCATGGTCTAGTGGAGAAGGCAAACATAAGAACAGAAATTGATAACACAATGTGGTGGGTATAGTGATGGAGATGAACACAGAGGAAGGGTACCTTCTTAGAGAGAGAAGGGTGAGGGCAGGGAAGGAGTTATATAGGAAAAGGCCTCCTGGAGGATGCAACACCTGAGCTGAGTCTTAAACAAGATGGGTAAGAGTCATCTAGGTCATGGTTAAAAGGAGAAGGAAGGACATTTCCAAGAGACAGAATAGCATGAGCATAGTGAGTGGGGAAGCAGCACGAATGTATATGAGGAATTCCAGGCATTACAGTGTTGCTATGGGGCAGAATGGCAAACAGGCAGTATTGCTGAGAGATGAAGATCCACCTGTGAGGAAGTGTGATGCAGTGGTTAAGAGAGTATGTGGGCTTTGGAGTTCAGTAGAGCTGAGTTTGCATCCTGCCTCTGCATCTTTCTACCTGTGAGAACTTGGTGAAACTACTTAACCTCTATATGCTTCAGTTTACTCATCTGTAAAATGGGAACAACAATGGCATTGTATTTAAAACATTCTTATGAGGGGTAATTGAAGTAATGTTTGCAAACTGCTTAACTCAGGTAAACATTAAAAGCATGTTGGCCAATTGTTATTGAGAGACTGGAGAGTTGTGGGGGAGGGTGCAAGGGGATGAGGGGACATAAAGGGAGGGACTCTGGAAGGTTTAAGCTGGCACTAATGGCAGTTTTGCATTGCAAGAGGACTATTTTGGAGACAGGGAGACTAGTTAGAAGGCAGTTACATTCAGCATTTCAGGTGACAGATGATGAGGGATAGTGGTAATAGGGATGGAGAGGAGAGGATAGAGTTAAATATTTAGGAGGTAACGTTGATGGGATTTTGTCACTGTGTGGAGGAATGTGAGAGAGTAAGGAATCTAGCATATTAATGATAAGACAGTTATAACGTTCTCAGTAGTGTTGCACTGTGTTGATCACTGTTGGCAAATGCACTGTAGGTCAAGATGATCTTAGAAGTGTTTGGTTTTGTTGGGAAATAAAACCTTAAGAAATTAAAAGACCAATATATTTGAATATATAGACAACAAAAGCCTATATTATCTCTCCATACAAACAAAACAAAACTAAACTGAAATAATGATAACACAGCCTAAGAAAAATAATAGCTTTGTCAAGAATAGAAGATAATAGCAATATGTAAATAGTTCATTAAAATTTATGAGAAAGCATCATGATTCCAATAGATAAATAGCAAATGATAAGAATTAACCATTTTAATTATACTTTCAAATTCTGGCTCTCTAAGGTCAGCCAGCTAGGTTTCATGTTCAAATATCATTGTCAAGTACTTCCTGTGATTTTGTTTGAAAAAAAAAAATCCTGAGGCTGGGTGTGGTGGCTTACACCTGTAATCCTAGTACTTTGGGAGGCCGAAGCCGGTGGATCACTTGAGGTCAGGCGTCCAAGACCAGCCTGACCAACATGGTAAAACCGTGTCTCTACTAAAAATACAAAAACTAGCCAGGTATGGTGGCTTGTGTCTGTAGTCCCAGCTACTTGGGAGGCTGAGGCAGGAGAATCACTTGAACCTGGAGGCAGAAGTTGCAGTGAGCCGGGATCACACCATTGCATTCCAGCCTGGGTAACAGAGCGAGACTACCTCTCCAAAAAAAAAAAAAAAATCCTGAATAAGCTTAAAAAAAATTAACCAAGTTGCCAATAAACAAAGATGTAAACATCCTTATATATAAAAATTTGATAAAAATTTAAGAAAATGCTAGTAATGGTCTGAAATTGATACAAGCACATTTTGCTGATGTCATTAAAACCATTTGTCCAGCAACATATAAAGTTTTGCCAGGGACATATATATACATATATTTTTTGTTTGCTGTGAAATTATAGTACTATGCTCATGGAAGAAAATGTCCTTGAGGCACACTACCCTATTAAAGGATAGTATATCATAATGACTAAGATATACTTTAAAATATTTCAGCAAAGAAAAAACACTGTTCAAGGAAATAAGAGAGGACACAAACAAATGGAAGAACATTCCATGCTCATGGATAGGAACAATCAATATCGTGAAAATGGCCATACTGCCCAAAGTAATTTATAGATTCAATGCTATCCCCATCAAGCTATCATTGACTGTCTTCACAGAATTAGAAAAAAACTACTCTAAATTTCATATGGAACCAAAAAAGTGTCCTTTTAGCCAAGACAATCCTAAGCAAAAAGAACAAAGCTGGAGGCATCATGCTACCTGACTTCAAACTATACTACAAGGCTACAGTAACCAAAACAACATGGTACTGGTACCAAAACAGATATATAGACCAATGGAACAGAACAAAGACCTCAGAAATAATGCCGCTCATCTACAACCATTTGATATTTGACAAACCTGTCAAAAAAAAAGCGATGGAGAAAGGATTTCCTATTTAATAAATGGCTGAAACTGGATCCCTTCCTTACACCTTATACAAAAATTAATGCAAAATGGATTAAAGACTTAAATGTAAGACCTAAAACCATAAAAACCCTAGAAGAAAACCTAGGCAATACCATTTGGGACACAGGCATGTGCAGAGACTTCATAAGTAAAACACAAAAAGCGATGGCAAGAAAAGCCAAAATTGACAAATGGGTTGTAATTAAACTAAAGAGCTGCACAGCAAAAGAAACTATCATCAGAGTGAACAGGCAACCTACAGAATGGGAGAAAATTTTTTCAATCTATCCATCTGACAAAGGGCTAATATCCAGAATCTACAAAGAACTTAAACAAATTTACAAGAAAAAAAAGAAACAACCCCATCAAAAATTGGGCAAAGGATATGAACAGACACTTCTAAAAAAAAAAAGACATTTATGTGGTCAATAAACATATGAAAAAAAGCTCATCATCACTGGTTATTAGAGAAGTGCAAATCAAAACCACAATGACATACCATCTCATGCCAGGTAGAATGGCAATCATTAAAAAGTCAGGAAACAACAGATGCTGAAGAGGATGTGGAGAAATAGGAATGTTTTACACTGTTGGTGGGAGTCTAAATTAGTTCAACCATTGTGGAAGACAGTGTGGCGATTCCTCAAGGACCTAGAACCAGAAATACCATTTGAGCCAGCAATCCCATTACTGGGTATATACCCAAAAGATTATAAATCATTCTACTATAAAGACACATGCACATGTATGTTTATTGCAGCATTGTTCACAATAGCAAAGACTTGAAACCAACCCAAATCCCCTTCAGTGATAGACTGGATAAAGAAAATGTGGCACATAGACACCATGGAATACTATGCAGCCATAAAAAGGATGAGTTCATGCCCTTTGCAGGGACATGGATGAAGCTGGAAACCATAATTCTCAGCAAACTAACACAGGAACAGAAAACCAAACAACGCATATTCTCACTCCTAAGTGGGAGTTAAAAAATGAGAACACATGGACACAAGGAGGGGAATATTACACACTGGGGCCTGTCAGGGGGTGGGGGGCTAGGGGAGGGATAGCATTAGGAGAAATACCTAATGTAGATGACAGGTTGATGGGTGAAGCCAACCACCATGGCATGTGTATACCTATGTAACAAACCTGCATGTTCTGCAAATGTATCCCAGAACTTAAAGTATAATAATAAAAAAATGCAAAAAAAATTGTTAATAATTACTGAACACAGGTGACAAAACTAGACTTGCTAAAGTAAAAACAAAAAGAGCAATGTAGTGCGCATGAGAATATGCATGGTCTAGTACAACTACTTTCATTTTTGCATATTATTTTCCAGTCTTAATCTATACAAATACATATTCTTAACTGCAATCATAATAGACAATCATTTTTAGTCAGCTGTTCTTATTTAATATTTTCAGTTTTCCATTGTTTTGTCTACAAATTATTTTAAACAATACTTTATAATGTGCCATATTGATACTCCCTAAAACACACTACCTTAATTTTGAATACTTGAGTTGCTTCCTCCATTTTTTTGTGGTATGACTTAATGCTGCAGAGAAAAACAGTGTGAATATAGTTTTATGCTTTTGTTAAATTGTTTCACTAAAATCCTCAGAACTATAAGAATGGAACACAAATATGTACATATTTATGTTTTTATTATGGATTATATATTTATACATTTTTATTGTATCATATTTTTAAAATATATTTATATACTTTTATTATATAACCATAATATGTAATAAAATTATATAACTATAAATATGTACATTTTTGTGCTCCATTCTTATAGTTCTGAGGATTTATTTTAGTGAAACAATTTAACATAAGCATAAAGCTATATATACAAGGTTTTTCTTTGCAACATTAAATCATACAGCAAAAAAGCAGGGGAGCAACTCAAGTATTCAAAATTAAGGTAATGTTCTTTAGGGAGTATCAATATTATGGCACATTATAAAGTATTGTTAAAAATAATTATTAAGACAAAACAATGGAAAATTGAAAATATTAAATGAGAACAACTGACCAAAATGATTGTCTATTATGTTTGCAGTTACTTAAGCATATGTATTTGTATAGATTAAGACTGGAAAATAATATGCAAAACACGAAAGTAGTTGTACTAGACTATGCATATTCTCATGTGCACTACATTGCTCTTTTTGTTTTTACTTTAGTAAGTCTAGTTTTGTCACCTGTATTTAGTAATTATTAACATTTTTCTATTTTTCTTTGCTGAAGTATTTTCAAGTACATCTTAGTCATCATGATATATTACCCTTCAATAGTATAGTGTGCCTCAAGGACATTTTCTTCCATGACCATAGCACTATAATTTCACAGCAAACAAAATGAATAGTTTTTAATATGATCTACTACTCAGGCCACAATCAAATTTGTCCAATTTACATTTTCTTTCCAAAAATGGAATGATTTGATAAATCTGCCTTGTCCAGTGGGATTGTTTACTGCTGCGTAGAGTACTGCTGACTGGATCCCAGCCCCTGGTGCTATGGTGGTGAGTGTCCCCAGGCTGGTGGCTTGGGAGTGGTCAGCCATCCACCCTCTGGGCCTCTCAGCATGGAGCCCTAAGAGGAGGACAGCTGACTCCGAGATGGTCAGTTCCGTCTGAGAGTAGAGCTGCCTCTTTTCTTCTGCCCTCTGCTCCTGGGAGCTGGGGGCACAGGCTGAGACCCTTGGAGCCAGCTGGCAGTGAGGAGTGGGAAACCAGCCAGCAGGTCTGTGCTTGGGCTGAGTAACTTTGGAAAGTTGTCTTTGTCAAGTCAGTTGTGGAAGGTCCCAAGATTTCACACAACCCTCCCTACTCTGCCTGGTGCTCCTAAACACCTGGCTTTTTTTTTTTTTTTTTTTTTTTTTTTTTTTTGCCGATTTACCTTCTTTATGGTTTATACAAAGAACTGTCTCTTCTTTTGATTAGTTGGATCTTCCGTGTTAAATAAGGCTTTAAAAAGAATCTTCAATTGCAGGATGTGACTAATAAAGTTATCAAGTCTGTGTTGTAAAAACAAACAAGCAAAACCAAAGCAAAACAAAAGCTAACCTAAAAATATTTTAACATGAAAGTTTTCCAAAACTCACAAAAGCGGAAAAAATGGCACGATGAGCCTCCCAATGTTTTACCAGTCTTGTTTCATTTACTTTTGCTTAAGTATAAATTCCTAGAATTGTATCATTTCACCTGTTAATAGATTACACCTGACAAAAAATTGACAGTTATTCCCTGATATCATCTAATACCTAGTCCATGTTGAAATTTCTCAAGTTATCTAAAAAATGTCTTTTATAGTCGAATTTGTTTGAATTTCAGTCTGAATGAGGGACACTCATTTGCATTGATTCATGTTTCTAAAGTTTTTTTTTACATTTATAATGGCTCTCCTCCTTCGACCTCTCTTTTATTTGTTGAAGAAACCAGGTCATTTGTCCTTTAGAATTTCCATAATCTGAATCTGCCTCTCCACTTTGTTTATCATATTCCTCTACCCCTCATATTTTCTGTAAACTGGAGGTTACAACTAGATGATTGATTAGATTAAGATTTAGTTTCCCTTTTTTTGGAGGGACAAGAATACTTCATAGGTGGTGCTGCATACTTTATATAGTATCACTTTAGGAGGCATGTAATGTGTGTATGCTCCACTTTTAGAGATGATTAAGATTGATGTTGGATTCAGGTGTAATCATCATTGTTTCAACTAATGGTTTTGGCAGCCATTGATGAAACTTGCTTAGATCCATTCTTTCATTAGGGGTGCAAAATAGTGGTTTTCGAATTCTAATATTTCTCTGCATTCGTTATTTCTTTGTGTCATCTTTTAAACCTCAGGCCTCTGTGGCTAGTTGCATTACCCAGTTCACTCACACTTCCCCTAGAAATGGGCCATGGTTAAGTTGTTGGCACAGTTGGAAGCTGGCTTCTGTAATTTTCCCTTCTTCAGCTGTAAACTTTTGAGGTAATGACAATTTAGACAGTGTCAGATTTATGCCTTGGCATAGTTTTGACATCTGTGTAATATGATTTGAGAAAAGCTGAAAGGTTGGTCTATAAAAATATTTTCCTCTTCTCCAGCAATGGTGTTTGACACCCCAATACTGGTATTCTCCCTTAAGGGCCTTCAGCTGACTTGTGAATTGTAACCAGGGTAAGGTATGATGTTATCTGGAAGAAGGGATGGGAGGAGCAAAGACCAGCACATTAATGAACATATTAAAAGCAATTTAAAAAATGTGATTGTTAGCTGATTACTACCAGTTCACTCCACATGGTAAGGTCTGGAACACAACTGAATGTGTAGCTGAGAATGGAACATGGGTGTATTAGCTTGGATGAGGGAAGAGGGTTGCAATTGATACAGGTAATGTGCATACTTGGGGCTTGGTTCAGGTTTTTATGTAGTGATTTCCAAGAATGAGGACTGTTGAATGGGTAGAAAACAGAAAGAAAATGTTAAAAGATGTGGGAAAACAAATTACCTCCTTAATACTTTCATTGAGGACTCCTACTTAAGCTCTCAAAGTAGCACAGATAGGAAAAACAGGAATCAGTTTCCTATTCTTTTCTTTACTACTGTGTTGGTCGGGGAGCACAAAACAGTGCTACACTCTAAGTCCTAGTGGAGTTTTCATTAGAGATCAGCAGTCATAAAGAGCAAAATATTCAAAGGAGGAATTTAAGGAAGATGGAGGGCTTATAAGAGTATGAGGGAAATAGGAGGAATCACTTTTTAAAGGCAAAAGATGACAGATTGATCCCTTTTGACAAAGAAGAAAGTTCAGTTTGCTGTTTTACAGAAATAAACCATTTTCTCTTTTCACCTACTCAACAACCAGTTCTAATAAGGAAGTTTCAGTATTTTTATCTTTATGATAATTTCAGAAACAGTAGTCCATTTATTCCTAATAATGTTACTGAAAAATACCAGTAATTATATAATGACTGCAGAAATCACATTTTTAAGTAAATGAAGAGGGAAATGATTTTTTTCTTATTATATGTCCCCAATTTATATGTAATTACCAGGTATAAAAGAACCTTCCTGGTATGCTTAATAACTGCCTTTTGTCCTTGCATGAAAAGTCGAGGTTTTTTATTCAAGGTTTTGTTCTGCTCAGCTTTTTTCTGGCTGGTTGGGGAGATAGAGGCAGCTGTTTTATGACATGTCTCACAGGCCTTCCTCAGACCAGGAAGCGTATTGCTTTGGAAACCAGCTGGCCATGTTCTTCGCCTGTCAGACCCAATGCAAGCAAACAGAATTCAGGCAAACCAGTGGAAATCCGCCAGTACAGGGAGAAGAGGCTCTTGATCAAAAAACGTGATCACTTTAAGCCAACAATTTCTAATTACCTGCAACTCCTCCACTGGTAGATAATAACATATACTATATAGACATGTATGGTTTTTTCCCCCATTAACTTTGGCTTCATTGGTTATTTCCTCCTTTATGAAATATCCTTTGAAAACAAGGCAGAAAATTGAAGACAGAAAAAAAAAACCCCAAAAACGCAGAGCTTTCTTTTCCTATTTAGTGATGGGATCAGGTGGTTGTATGTCTGCTGTCTATACATTGCAAGAGAAATAATAAATAGAATAATACTTTTCCTCTTAACTAAAAAAAATTTTACTTTTTTCTCTTTTTATAAATTTATTATACACTCCAGTCTGGGCTACAGAGTGAGACCCTGTCTCAAAAAAAAAAAAAAAAAAACCTCAAATAAAAGAAGGAAAAAAATAAAATATATTATAGATCTATAGTTAGATTAGCTAACATTTTATTTTTGTATTTAGTATGTTCAAATCATATATTACAGCATCTTTATTAAATTCTAATATTTTAAAATATTTCACATGAAATAATGTTGATATATAGATAATAGACTATAATATCTTTGCAGATGTATGTAAGAATTACTTATAAAAATCATTACAAATTATAAAGTCTTATTTATTCATTTGCAGGTTATTTTTATTTATCAAATTAATGCCAGGTACTGTGCAGTTATTAGAGCTACAAAGACATGGATGGTCAAGAGATCACTTCGGCTACTGGGCGGGGAATGTATTGTGGAGTGAGACAAGAGTGGAGTCAGAAAGGCTATTGGAGAGGCTGTTAAGGAGTACCGTTTGTGAGAGGACCCAGGCAGGTAAACAAGGATTTTAGAAATACAAATTCAATGGGAGTGCAAAAGAAAAAGTGAATAACCAGTTTTCAACTTGATGATGCTGATTTATTATCAGAGTAAGATGAGAGAGGCTTTCATTTGTTCTCTGTGTGAGATGGCAAGATGGATGAATCCCAGAAATTCAGCATGCTTGTGCAGACAGTGCTTGGGAGCATGCCTACCTGATTCAGTGTGAAATGAATAGGTGACCAAGAAAGAGAATCTTAGCACTACTTGGTCTGTTGTGACCTTGGATACGTCGTGATATCACAGAGTCACCCTGGAGCTGGGGCAGGATTGGGTTTATAGGTGGGAAGATGAGGGGGGCTGATGAGGGTGCGGCAGGAGGGAGGCATGGACTGTTATTTCCCATGCTGTTACCTCTGCTTAGAATTTTTTTTTTCTCAGTGTGAAAGAAAGGTCTAGCTCAAATGTCATTTTTGGTGAAGGCTTCCCGGATTTTCCCTGCAGTAGTAATTATTCCCAATGTATTTTCTACATATGCATATTATAGTATTTATACCACATCTTAAATATTCATTTATGAAACTGTCATCTTTACTGAAATGTGAAAGTCTTCTAGGACTGAAACTATGTATTGTTTTTAATATCTACAGTGCCACTTACAGCAATAGGAATATAGTAAGTAATTAATATGTATCTGTTAAGTGAAATTAATGAATCAGTATGTGGTTGTTCTCACAAAGTTTTTTTCTAGTGGATGGTGACCTTTTTGTTTTGTTATTTCTGTAACAAATAATAATAATGGCAATTGATGTGCTAGATACTGTTCTATGCCCTTTGTACATTATTAACTACTTTGATCCTCATTATTAATCCTGTGAGTTAGGTAATACTATTATTCCCAATTTTACTGATGAGAAAAATTAGTAAGCTATAAATTTATATTTGTTTCCAATCTTCATTGTATTTATTCAGCCAACAATTTTGAGTGTCTGCTTTGTGCCAGGTACCATTTTAGGTGTTAGTGGTTGCAGAGGTGAACGAAGTCCCTTCCCTCCTGGAGCTTACATTCTAGTGGCAGAAGACAAACAGGAACAAATACGTATATAAGCAAAATACTTCAACTAAGTGTTATGAGGTGACGATTAAGCGATGTGACAGAAGGGACTGGGGAACTTCTATGAATCAGATGGTAGGAGGGGCCTTTCTGAGGATGTGACACTTAACATGAAGTCTGATTGACCAAAGGAGCCAGACATTGGATATCAAGGGGAGGTTCTCTGCGGCAAAGGGCAAAGCTAATGCAGCAATGCTTATGGCAGCAATGCTTATGGCAGCAATGAGTCTGGTGCTCCTAAGAGAGAATGACCAGTGTGAAGAGAAGAAAAGTAGTATGGGCTGAGGCACCTGAGGTAAGCAGAGGTGAGGAAAGTTACGGCTTGCTCTATAAGTCAAGGCAAGGGTAATGATTTTTGTTTTGAGTGTGGTGGGAAGCCATTAGAAGGCTTAAAGGAGGGTGGTGGTGTTTTAAGAAGATCACGTTGGCTGCTGGGTGGAGAAAGTGTTGTGGAATGAGGCAAGAGTAGAATCAGAAAGGCTGCAGTATTTGAAGGGAATGATGATGGTTGCAGTAGAGGTTGTAACCAGTGGTTGGATACTGGTGTATGTTTTGGAGACAGGGTCTTAAGCACCTGTAGATGGATTTCATGTAGAAGGAGAAGGAAAGAGATGAATCAGTGTTGATTTCTAGATTTTAGGCTTGCAAACTGGGTGGCTGGTGGTGGTGTTACTAAGATGAAAAAGGCTTGGGGATGAGCAGCTGGGGAAATGGGCAAACGGGCGCTCTGTGTGATTCGTGGTTTTTTCCTGAAGGGCTCAGCAACAGTTCAGAATTAAGAGAATGTAGGTGAATGGAATATTCTGCAGTTCAGTTTGCAAAGGGAGTTGAGGAGTTGACAACTTCGCAGTTGCACAGGAAAAGAGTTTACCAAAGTGGTGGAGAAGAAGAAAGAGTTCTGGTCCTGAAAGCCATGACGCATTTAAAGATTGCATTTACGTAAGGTGGGAAGAAGCTTGAAAGATGCGAGGGACTAAGACATGGGAATTTGAGATTTCAGATGTGAAACTTTTCTGGGTATTAATAAGGTCCAAGCTGTGATCATGGATATGGATTGCTGAAATGGAGCAGAGGTAAAATCTTTAGAGTTTAAAATGTTAAGAACATGTGGTATTGTAGAAAAAAGTTGTTTTTATTTTTTAAATGGAGATTGAAGTCCCAAAGAATAATGGAAGAAGCCAACGTAGAGGGAAGAAAGTAAGCAAGTGCCAAGATCATGAGAGGCAAGATTTGGAGGCTGGTAGATGACAATCATGAGAAGATTTAGAGGGTGGTACAGAGGCATGGCATGCTTTTCAAAGACTTGTTCCAAGTGGAGTTGCTTTGATACAGAGGGGTGTAGGATAATGTTGTTCCTAGATTCCTTGGTAGAGGAAAGGGATCGTTCTTCAATAGGAAGGGCCCCCAGGGTGCTGGGTCCTAGTAGGGTGGGAAGTCTAGGTTTCAGTTAATTCTACAAGTTCAGGGAACACTGTATTGAAGGTTTAGAGTATAGAGAAACTTGTTGATGAAAGAATATAGACCCAAATGGAAGAATAAAAGAGAGTAAGCTGTAGGAGCATAGCAGAAGACTGAGCCATGAAAGAGAGGTGGAAGGTGTTGGGGGAGGACTGCAGGGAGAGGTCAGAGCAATATGTGGGGAGGATGGACTGCCAGAGAGAACTGCATCAGGACAGTAATAAGAGCTCTACAATTCTGCATAAAATTAGAAAACTTTGGGTTAAAATTGTTTGTAACAACTTCGTAGGATTAAAATCCTAGTTTCATACTACAGAGTACTTATTAAGGTACCTCTCCAGTGTATTAGAGACAACATAGCCAACATATCTAACTTAACATTACCAGTAATGGGACAAACTGAGTTGTGTTCCCTGATGTGATGCACTTGTAAGGACCCATCAGCAACCATGGAGCACTGTGGTCAAAAATATTTAACCTGAATCTAATCATAAGCAACAGGCTAATTCAAACTGAGGGGCATTCTTTAAAAACAATTTGCCTAGATTCTTCCCAAATGTTAATGTTACCAAAGGACCAAAAAGCTGAAAAATAGTTTTAGATTAGAGGACATTAAGGAGAAAACAATTAAATCTAATATGTGATCCTTGATTGGATCCAGAATTGGAAACAAACAGAAAACAATAAAAAAATCCCCCAATTCCGACTATAAAGGATGTTATTAGGATGTATTAGTCTGTTTTCACACTGCTAATAAAGACAGACCCAAGACTGGGTAATTTATAAAAGAAAGAGGTTTTATGGACTCACAGTTTCACATGGCTGGAGAGGCCTCACAATTATGGCGGAAGGCAAAAGAGAAGCAAAGGCACATCTTACATGACAGCAGGCATGAGAGAGCTTGTGCAGAGGGAACTCCCATTTATAAAACCATCAGATCTCATGAGACTTATTCATTACTGTGAGAACAGTATGGGGTGGGGGAAACCACCCCCATGATTCAATTATCTCCATCTTGCCCTGCCCTTGACATGTGGGGATTATTACAATTCAAGGTGAGATTTGGGTGGGGACACAGCCACACCATATCATTCCACCCCAGCCCCTCCCAAATCTCATGTCCTCACATTTCAAAACCAATCATGCCTTCCCCCAAAGTCTTAATTCATCAGCATTAACTCAAAAGTCCATGGCCCAAAGTCTCATCTGAGACAAGGCAAGTTTCTTTCACTTATGAGCCTGTAAAATCAAAAGCAAGTTAGCTACTTCTTAGATACAATGGGGGCACAGGCATTGGGTAAATACACCCTTTCCAAATGGGAGAAATTGGCCAAAATCAAGGGGCTACAGGCCACATGCAAGTCCAAAATCCAATGGGGCAGTCAAATCTTTTTTTCTTTTTTTTCTTTTTTTTTGAGACAGAGTTTTGCTCTTGTTGCCCAGGCTGGAGTGCAATGGCGCAATCTCAGCTCACTGCAACCTCCATCTCTCAGGTTCAAGCGATTCTCCTGCCTCAGCCTCCCGAGTAGCTGGGATTACGGGCATGTGCCACCATGGAGCAGTCAAATCTTAAAGCTCCAAAATGATCTCCTTTGTTTCGATGTCTCACGTACAGGATGCAAGAGTTGGGCTCCCACAGCCTTGGGCAGCTCCACCCCTGTGGCTTTTCAGGGTACAGCCCTGCTCCTGGCTGTTTTCATGGGCTGGTGTTGAGTGTCTGTGGCTTTTCCAGGTGGATGGTGCAAGCAGTAGATCTACCATTCTGGGGTCTGGAAGATGGTGGAGGATGGTGGCCCTTTTCTCACAGCTCCACTAGGCAGTGCCCTAGTGGCCACTCTCTGTGGGGGGGCTCCAGCTCCACATTTTCCTTCCACACTGCCATAGTAGAGGTTCTTCATGAGGGCCACACCCCTGCAGCAAACTTCTGCCTAGACATCCAGGCACTTCCATACATCCTCTGAAATCTAGGCTGAGATTAAAAAACCTCAATTCTTGACTTCTGTGCACCTGCAGGACCAATACCACATGTAAGCTGCCAAGACTTAGGGTTTGTACCCTCTAAAGCATTGGGCCAAGCTGTACGTTGGCCCCTTTTAGCCATGGCTGGAGCTGAAGCATCTGGGACACAGGGCAACATATCCTGAGGCTGCATAGAGCAGGGGGACCCTGGGCCTGGCCCATGAAACCATTTTTACCCCCTAGGCCTCCAGGCCTGTGATGAGAGGGGCTGCCATGAAGGTCTGTGACATGCTCTGGAGACATTTTCCCCATTTTCTTAGCAATTAATATTTGGCTCCTTGTTGCTTATGAAAGTTTCTGCAGCTGGCTTGAATTTCTCCTTAGAAAATGGGTTTTTCTTTTCTGTCACATCATCAGGCTGCAAATTTTCTAACTTTTATGCTCTGCTTCCCTTTTAAACATAAGTTCCAATTTCAAACCACATTTTTGTGAATACATAAAACTGAATGCTTTCAACGGCACCCAAGTCATATTTGAATGCTTTGCTGCTTAGGAATTTCTTCTGCTAGATGCCCTAAATCATCTCTCTCAAGTTCAAAGTTCCACACATCTCTAGGTCAGGGGCAAAATGCTGCCAGTCTTTTTGCTAAAACGTAGCAAGATTCACCTTTATTCCAGTTCCCAGCAAGTTCCTCATCTTCATCTGAGACCACCTCACCCTGGACTTCATTGTCCAGATTGTGACAGGAAGTCCAGTAATTGGACTTAATATCACTATTAGCATGTTGGTCAAAGCCATTTAACAAGTCTCTAGGAAGTTCCAAACTTTCCCACATCTTCCTGTCCTCTTTTGAGCCCTCCAGACTGTTCCAACCTCTGCCTATTACCCAGTTCCAAAGTCGCTTCCACATTATTGGATATCATTACAGTAGCACCCCACTCCTGGTACCAATTTACTGTATTAGTCTGTTCTCATGTTGCTAATAAAGACATACCTGAGACTGGGTAATTTATAAAGGAAAGAGATTTAATGGACTCATAGTTCCACATGGTGAGGAAGGCCTTACAATCATGGCAGAAGGCAAAGGAGAAGCAAAGGCACATCTTACATGGTGGCAGGCAAGAGAGAGCTTGTGCAGGGGAACTCCCATTTATAAAACCATCAGATATCATGAGACTTATTCATTACCATGAGAACAGTATGGGAGAATTGCCCCCATGATTCAATTATCTCCAACTGTCCCTGCCCTTGACATGTGGGGATTATTACAATTCAAGGTGAGATTTGGGTGGGGACACAGCCAAACTGTATCACAGGACAATTAGGGAAATCTGAATATGGCTTATATATAAGATATATATAATATATAGACAATAATAGTGTTGGATCAATGTTCAACTACCCCAGTATGATAATTGTATTAAGGTTATAAAGAAGAATGCTTTTTTCTTACTAGATGCATGCTAAATTATTGAGAAATGAAGTATTATAATGTATTCAACTGACTCTCCAGTAATTCAGCAATATCTATATATCTGTAATATCAATATCAGTATCTATACAATATATTAATGTCTATTTCTCTTTATATTTAGAGAGCAAGAAAGCAAATCTTCAAATTTACCAACATAAGTTTCAAGATGTGATCAAAGTAGAAAAAAATTTCAATAATTACATTAAGCAAACACATTATTAAATAATTTAATCAATTTAGTAATTATTAAATTATTATTAAATAAAATTATTTTAAGAGCTACATTAAAACCAATCACAGAGCAGTATTAATTTTTGAGGATTATTATTGTCTATTTCCAGCCGAATAATGAATCATCAGGACTAATGATATTAATACCATAACATGCCTTATTTTACATCATGGAAGTCATCCAAATGGGCTGTGTGACAGATAGAGAAGTAAATATACTTTATTATTTATGCAAATAAGTACTATTTGCTCATGCCAAAATACTGCCTTTATTAAAGAGGATAAAATAACTTCTTTAGATGGACTTTTTAAAAATTTCTTCCATATATCTATATCCTTCATGATGTCTTGGGTAGGAGTCTACAGGCAATATAGTGGAATTAAGGCCATAGGATGCACTACCTTGGCTCCTCACTTCCTTCTAGCCTTGAAAAGTGGAACAGTCACTAATTTACAAAATGTATGCTCTGTTCTTACTCTTAACAAGAGGGAGGGAGAGAGTCCCACAGGCAGCTCATGTAAGTTCTAGCTAAAAGGAGAATGCAGGTGGGAGCAGTATAAACAGGTGCCTCAAAAGTTGTCTCTTTCTGGGCAGTGTTGTTGTTATAGGTGCCCATCCATCTTGTACCAAGAGTACTACCCTGAGTACTAGATTACCAATTGTAGCTCAGGGGGCTGCATGCAGTTTTTTTCCCTTTAATTTTAAGACGCTCTCCCCACTTAGTGGAAAAGATGCATTTTTGAGATGCATTTTGTCTTTGAGATAGAATCTGCCCCCACGACCCAAACACCTCCCACCAGGACCCACTCCAGCATTTTGGATTACAAGTCATCATGAGATTGGGGTAGGGACAAATATCCAAACTGTATCAGATCCCATGTGTCCCTAATTTCTTTTCTGTGTTAGAAAGCAGTTTACTAATTTAGCTGTGCTGTGAAAAATCCCTGAGAGGTTGTAGCAGTTTTACTGCTCCACGCCATCTGCATATCTCATCAGATCACACTACATAATCTCTTTGGGAAAAAGGATGATGGGGCAAGACCAAAAGGGCCAGGCTAAAAGATAAAGCCACCAAATAACTTTACAGGGATGTCAGTTCAGCACACACATAGGAGCATCAGGCAATGGAAGTGACATTCCAAACAACATGTCTTTTTCCTCTCCACACATTAAAAATGCTTCTATTAATTGAAAGCAGATAAAAGGTGAAATAATACAATGCACAGTAACTCATGTTAAAGCTTGCAGGTAAAAGACTGAATTCTTGTGTGAAATAAATGGCTTTCCACTTAATAAACTGGAGTTGTTCCAAGGACATCTTTTCATTTACAGAGCAGGTGCAGATGAAGTTTTGAGAAAATTGTACAGTATTTTTAAAAATAAAACATTTAATTAACAAGCTTGAAAACAGTGGAGCACTTGAAGTGAAAAACAATTGTTTTATATCAAACAGTGCAAATCCAATTTGTGAATGCAACTGTATTGAAAAGCTTGAAAATATTAATGAATTGCTATGGGCTTTAAAAAAGAAGTTTTAATTTTCTTTCAAGGTTTTCCCTTGAGACAAGTTCTAAGTCAGAAAAGATGTTCAAATGAATGCAAAAAAAGTATATTCTATTTGAAGGTCCAAATGCTTATCTAAAAGAAACAAAGATGAAAAGGGTAGAATATTTATAAGCACTAAAAAATAAACCAAATTCAATCACATCTCTATATGTGGATCTTTTTGTTAAGGTGGTTTGGAATTGCAGTTTCTATCATGACTGTTTACTAACTTGTTCTTAGGATTTAAACACAACAAATTTTGAAAAATAATGTAATATTAAAGATACATGCTGTTTCACAAGGGATTAAGCCATAAGGGATTTATGAAAGGATATATTAAAAAAAAGAATCTTGAGAAAGATACTGTTTCAAGATAAGACAACTTTGGTCAAAGGCTTAAATTTCTTTACATTAAATTTTCTCTAGAGTAATCCTTCCTGATTCCAGCGTTTTATAGCAAAAGATCTGGTAACAGCACATGCTGTCAGTCATACCAAATATTGCTCCAGGCCACAGTATTTGCTGGGCTCTCAGGTAATAGCTTCTTTAGTGACTTTGGTCAGGAACCCTGAGCCACATGACAGGTTTAGGTGTCCTGTAAGGCAAGCTGATAAATCCTCGTGATGACAGCCAGGTCTTTTGGCAGAGTGTTGAGAACTGACAGGCCACCAGTGCTCCTTTCCTTTGTGTCTTCTGTTTGGAAAAATGCAACAAATAAAAATCACTAAAGAGCTTCTGGTAAAGTCAGCCTGCACTGTGGGGACTTAATGAGATTAAAGAAAAACTTGATTTATTTCTCTTTCTTGACAAGGGCTTGTTTCCCAGAAGTAATCCTGAAGCCACTAGAAGAAAATTAAATGTACCCAGGATGATGTTCTCCAAGGTACTCACAGAAAAAGTCAGAACAGTGCTCACCATCTACAGAATCCTGGTTATTCTTTAGTCTACAACCTTTCTAATAGCTATTTTCCCCATATCTTCATATTATCAAATAGGTTAAAAACAGATAATTGTTGAATAAGAGTGATGCTCTAATTTTCCTTTTATAAAAATGAAAGAATCTTGATGCCATATGCTTAATTTTTCATGTCTTAAATTTTTATACCTGGACTCTTAGTGTATTAATTTTTGTTTAGAAAGAGAAAACAAATAACCAAAGCGGGAAAAACAAGGCAATGAATAGAAAATAGAAACACTAACCAGCTTACTACAAAGCACATTGGCCTTCCGTGTTATTAAATTACATTAGTTAATGCTCACACTTAAAAAGTGCTCAGTTTTCTTAAATGTGTGCTGCTATTACTGCTTTAAATAAATTCCTCATTAAGCTGCTCAGTTTCTCTTCCCTTGTGTTTCAGGTGGGTTTAATTTTTTTTTTTCTAGACTAGTCAAGTGCAGTAGTGAGAAAGGGGGAAAGAGTAGAACAAGGAGTTTGATCTGTAACTGACTGTGAACAATTAGTTGAGATAACACTGTCTTCGAACCAGCTGCATTTTTTTGTTTCTCTATCATTTTGCCTTCTGATACCTTGCTTCTTTTCATTCAGACCATTTGCTTAATTATTTAACCTTCTTAATTCTTACCCTCTTCCACTCTTCTCAATCAGCCTTTCATCTTTTTAGGTGTCCTATCATATCTTAATCTTTCTTACTGAACTTTTATTGGTGAAACTGTTATATATTAACTGAAGCCACAGAGATTAAAGATAATTTCTACTTCCTTAAAAACCACAATATTTATTTTTTATTTTGTTATATCATCAGAGGTAATGCAATACAAATATTACCAGTTTATGGTTTCATGTAGTATTTTTAAGTTCTTGCTAGAATGTTATTTGCCATGTAGAAGAACCAGAGGCTTTTAGAAATTGTAGCAACTCTTAACCAGAAATTAGAGGAGAGACTTTATAAACTAGTCTCCTGATAGACCCCACATCAGCAGGACTTTTACTAATGTTAGAGAATATAATGGAGGTTTGCCTGTGACATCTGGCAGAACTTTCATTCCTAGGGTTGATTTGGCTAAATCATTCCAGGCTAAGGGCGCCATTGAAAAGGACAATATTTAAAGATAGAGGAAAGAAGCATTTTGATCAAACACATGTATAGGGGAATGTTGGAAAAGAATTTTGACAGGAATAATAGAAAATCATAGTAAATATATGTAACGTTGACAAAATTACTTAACCTCCTTATGCTCCAATTTCCTTACCTACAAAATTGGAAAGGTAATAGTAATATTTGTCTCGTAAGATTATTGTGATAATTAAATGAGTTGTTATATATTAGTGAAATATTTAGGTAAGTGGAACTTATTGTTAAATGTTAAAATAATGACAAGTTCCACCATCATACCTTTCTTTGTGGCTGAGTTACAATACATATGTATATCTTCTCCAAAGAAGACATGCAAATGGCCAACAGATGTATAAAAAATTAGTAATCATCAGAGAAATGCAAATTAAAATCACAGTGTAAGATATTACTTTACACTGTTTAGAATGACTTATCAAAAAGACAAAAGATAGGCCAGGCATGGTGGCTCATGCCTGTAATCCCAGCACTTTGGGAGGCTGAGGCAGGCAGATTACTTGAGGTCAGGAGTTTGAGACCAGCCTGGCCAACATTGTGAAACCCTGTCTCTACTAAAAATACAAAAATTAGTCAGGTGTGGTGGTACATGCCTGTGACCCAGTTGCTTGGGAGGCTGAGACAGGAGAATCACTGGAACCTGGGAGGTGGAGGTTGCGGTGAATCAAGATCATGCCACTGCACTCTAGCCTGGGTAACAGAATGAGACTCTCTCTCAAAAAAAAAAAAAAAAAAAAGACAAAAGATAAATATTGGAGAAGATGTGGAGAAAGGAAACCCCTACACACTGTTGGTGGGACTGCAAATTAGTATAGCCATTATGGAAAACAGTACAGAGGTTCCTAAAAAAATTAAAAATAGAATTATCATTTGATCTAGAAATCCCACTACTGAGTATATAGTCAAAGGAAATGAAATCAGTATGTTGAAGAGATATCTTCAGTTCCATGCTTATTGCAGAACTATTTACAATAGCCAAGATTTGGAAGCAACCTAAGCTTCCAACAATGGATAAATGGGTAAAGAAAATGTGGTATAAATACTTAACGAAATATGATTCAGCCTTAACAAGAAGAAAATCCTGTCATTTGTGACAACATGGATGAGCCTGGAGGATATTACATTAAGTGAAATAAGCCAGGTGCAGAAACACAAATACTAGGGGCTCTCACTTATATGTGGAATTTAAAAAGTTGAATTCATAGAATGATGGTTACCAGGGGCTGTGTGGAGGAGGGATTGCAGAAATGTTGGTCAAAGGATACACAATTTCAGTTAGGAGGAATCAAGAGATCTATTGTACAGTATGTGATTATAGTATATAACAGTGTATTGTATTCTTGAGAATTGCTAAGGGTAGATTTTTAAATGTTCTCACCATAAAAATTGATATGTGAGGTAATGTATATGTTAATTAGCTCAATTTAGCCATTCTATAGTGTATGCATATTTCAAAAGAACATGTTGTGCATGATAAATTTATACAAAAAGAGTTATAATACATAAATAACAGTGATACCCTCAGACACCTATGAAATAGGTGAAAATATATACTCATGCTTTAAATGACTCTAGGTCATTGTGGTTTCTTGATTTTATTCGACTCTCTTCAGTTGTAGATGTCATTTTTTGTTGCTGTTAGTCGGTATTCTCTTCCTGCTTCTGATATACTGCTGTATGTTGCATTCATTCACTCTATAGACCAACACCATCTAATAGCCAAATATGTAATTTATAATTTCCAGTAGTCACATTAAACAAAGTAAAGAGAAATAGGTGAAATTATCTTTAATAATATATTTTATATAACACAATGTATCCAAAATGCTATCATTTCAACAGGTAATCAATATACAAATATTAATGATGTATTTTATATTATTTTTTAAATTCCAAGTCTTTGAAATCTGGTGTGTATTTAACTTTTGCAACACAACTCAATTGGAATGCTAAATTTTTGATAGATATGTGCTATTTATTTAGATTTCATAAAATTTACAGTTGAAAAAGTGGATTCATGTACCCAAATTGTTTTGAGACTATTTAAAAGTTTCTCAACAAGTGAATTGAATAGCAGTGTATTAGTCCATTTTTATACTGCTATGAAAAAATACCCAACACTGGGTAATTTATAAAGAACATGAGGTTTAATGGACTCCCAGTTCCACAAAGCTGGGGAGGCCTCACAATCACAATCATGGTGGAAGGTGAAGGTGGAGCAAAGGCACGTTTTATGTGGTGGCAGGAAAGAGAACGTGTGCAGGGAAACTACCCATTATAAAACCATCAGATCTTGTAAGATTTATTCATTATCACCAGAATAGCATGGGAAAAAACCGCCCCCATGATTCAATTACCTCCCATAAAGTCCCTCCCATGACACATGGGGATTATGGGAGCTACAATTCATGATGAGATTTGGGTGGGAACAGCCAAACAATAGCAAGCAGTTTTTAAATTAAAATTAAATTAAAATAAAACAAAATAAAAATTCAGATCCTTAGTCTCACTGGCCACATTTCAAGTGCTCAGTAGCCACATGTGGTATGGCTGTCACACTGGTAAATACTTCTTACTGAATACCTATGATGTATAAAAAGGCCTTAGGTAGAGATAAGTTAAAGACATACTGCCCCTCCCCTCTTCAAGAATGGAGGAGTTGAGAGAGGTACAAAATATAGCAATGGTGTGAGAGTAGTTATTTGTCTCTTCCTATAGACTAATGTGACTTTATGTCTAAAAGACCTCTTTTTGTGATTCATTTTGAGTTAGTGTCTATAACTGAGATCACTGAGGTTGCTGACAGTCTGACTTCTCCATAGGTGAGGCATTATTTTGTATTTGTCACATATTAGGGTTGTGCATGATTGTTGTAATGCTTTTCATGATCAAATAAAGCACTTTGCATTTAAACTGTGGCTTTGATCAAATAGCTCCATATTTCCCCATGTGGAATCAGATTTTCTAATGTTAAAATGTACACCTTTCTCAATTATTCGAGCTCCCTGTCCATATTATTGTTAACCTCAGATTTCTGTCTCATTTCATCCCTTCAAGTAACTAGCTTTTTCTCATTATTTTCTGCTTATTGAGCCCAATGTTGCACAGAAAAGTTGATTTGTTAATTAGTTTAATCGCCCCTTCTCATAATGGCAGGGTAAGATTGGCGGAGGAAGCTTGTTATCAGTCTGTGCTACTGGTAAGCAGTAATTACAGATAATGATGCTTTTGTCTTGCGGCATTCTGAAGATTGTCTTGAACTCCCCCTCGTTGAATTAGCAAATGGACTGTCATGTTGAATTCTCCTCTGGTTTCTTCCCCCAACTCGTCCTCTACCCGCCACCAATGAAACAAAATTACAGCTTGTTAGGTGGAAGCTCATTTGAAGTCTCAATTTTCTTGAGTATTCAGCTCTCATGGGGAAGTGCCAGGTGCTCAGTCATGGCCACAGCACTTGCCTTTGGCTTAAGATTCCTACTCAACTGGCATCCTACAAATCTTTGATTTTTCTTTTGCTTGAAGAGGCAGTGGTTGTCTTGACAGCAGAGTTAAAGCTCTGTCCTTGTACTTTGATGCGCATTGTGGTACAATCTAATAATCAAAGTCATTTGTCAAGAAATAGGGTGTTCACACTTTTCTCTGAAGAGATTGGAATAAACAACAGATTTTATGTGGATGTAAGCCAGAAAGGGCAGTCACTACCACTTTAAAAATGTGCCTGAAAAGTATAGCCCAGAGTAGGTTTTAACTAAGACTGTATCTTTATATCAGGAGTTCTCAACCTGGGACAATTTTTATTCCCAGGAGATGTTTGGCAATGTCTGGTGACATTTGTGGTTTTCATGACTGATGAGGGGAGGGATAGCTGGCATCTAGTAAGTAGAGGTCAGGGATGCTGCTTAACATCCTACAATGCACAGGACAGTCCTCCACAATAAAGAATTATCTGACTCACAGATGGCAATAGTGCTGAGGCTGAGAAACTCTACCTCATATGATTATGAAGGGAGCCCTGTGGTATATTTGATTCCCACTCCCAGCAGTCAATTATTTATATGATTTGGGGGAATAATTGATTGAGTAGGAAAATTGGAATAAATTGCTAAGGGGATGAATTTTCCATGTCCTGCTGTGGGGACTCCTATGGATAATAGATAAGGAATAAAAATAGAGATTAAAAACCCTTGTCCTCATAATTACAGCAGAAACTTATTTTTTACTGTTGCATGAGTGTAATAGAAGCAATATGCTAAACTCTGACATGTTTCTGAATTACTGACAAATTCTCTAACAGAACCACATTCTTTTACCAGCAGGGAGAAATTACATGGTCCATGAATGTTATAATCACATGTATTTTAGCCAAAGCCTGCTTGCTTCTTTCATATCTTGAGGTTAGACTCCATTTTTAGAAAATCCTGATGTTGTAGTCTTGACACCAAACCCAGTCTTCTCAGAGCAACTTGGTGCGGCTCAGACATTAATTTATCTAATCAAAGTAGAGTTTGTTTGAATAGACACAATTTCTAGTAGTCTTAGACTGAGATGGATCTAGAGTTTAAGCTAGGATCACCTTGAAGCTGACAGTCCATTCTTTCTAGTATGTTTTGGATAGCATGCCCTAAATACCAATTTATTCTTGACACAGCCTGGCATGTGAAAATGGGGTGACATATTTTAACATATTTATATCTCCATAGGTCAAGAAGAGAACAATGATAACTCTATAAAGAAGACATTTCTAACATTTAGAAGTCTCTCTCAAAAATGGTGAATTTTCTTTCTCTCACTGGGAATTTTTTGGTAGAGGCCGTATGACCACATACAGATATTATTGCATTGAGTTGAAAATTGGTTTTGACGATTTCTGAGGTCCTTTGTAATTCTGAGTTTCTCTGATTTAATGATTCTGCAAATTTACCCTTAAGAACCTACAATTTTGCAGCCTCTCCATCCCCAATTCCCCATTCTTCCATGTGCATTTCTGAATACTCATTATCGTCTCTGTAATCCCCCAAAAGAAACCACTACTGGCATCTTTTCTGTACCTTGCACATGCCATGCTTTTTCAGTCTCCCACTCCTGGAATGTCTTCTGCTTTTCCTTCAAGGTTTAGCTCCAACACTACCTTTCATGAAGTCCTTTCCTATTGCTCTACCCTAAAATGTTTGCCTCCTTTTCTTATTTCTCTCACATTTGTCATCTGGGTTATATTCATAGGGGGTTATAATCACAGGGAATGTGTCCATGTTTTCATAAATGCACCAGCAGAAGACAAATGGATTTCTATTGCAATTTATCTGTTTCTATGTTTACTTCTTATTCAGGAGTCCTTTATCTCTTCATAATTAGTGACATTAAGACCATTTAGCACTTGGTTATATGTTGCCTTTCTTATTTTCTTGCCTCTTCAACTAGACTAAGTTTTTGGAGTCATACATTTGTGTTGGTTCTTCTGTGTGTCTTTTACAGTGCTGAGGTTGTAGTAAGAAGGTAATAAAACACTGCTAAATTAAATGAAAGACAGTGGAACCAAGTAGCTCCACATGGTAAGCATGATATGCCAGTGATTCCACAGAATAGGGTTTTCTGCTAGAATAGTATATGCCAGGCTGCTTTTCAGATGGTCTGTTCCTTTGTATGAATAATTCTGGGGAAAGTCATGTTTTAGTTTTCTTTTTCATTGTCTTCTAAGAGCAGAATAGGAGCAATAGAGAGAGAAGAATAGAAATGGCTTAGAAAGAAAAGAACAGGGCTGCCATTTTTTTCTGAATTATAGCAACTTCCCCTTACTATTTCTTTCGAAAAAATATATAACAATTTCAAAATGTCAGCCTCTACCTCATTTTTCTTGCCTCTGTCTTTTGATATTTTCAGAGCTAGAACAAATGATGCCTCAGTTTTATGCTGAATCTTAAGCACTGGAGCCTGTTCTTTGAGAGACAAGGGATGTGTGTCAACATTGGTCCCAGAATCTTCTGCAGCTTAGAACTAGGTTACTTTCCTGGATTTTGGATTCGGTGACTGTTTTGCTATCTTCATTCTTTCTTTCAGAGTCAACTTCAGCTGATCTCACAAGGAACTTGGTGTCCCAGGCATAACCCTTGAATGCCAATATTGCCTACTAGGTGAACCTCTCTCCTACCCAGTTTTGATCATGTTTTCTGATAAGTATCATAGTTTCCCATGTAGAATGGGAATCATAGTTTCCCTTGCCCAGGCTGGAGTGCAATGGCGTGATCTCTGCTCACCGCAACCTCCACCTCTCGGATTCAAGCAATTCTCCTGGCTCAGCCTCTCGAGTAGCTGGGATTACAGGCATGTGCCACCACACCTGGCTAATTTTGTATTTTTAGTAGAGATGGGGTTTCTCCATGTTGATCAGGCTGGTCTAGAACTCCCAACCGCAGGTGATCAGCCTGCCCTGGCCTTCCAAAGTGCTGGGATTACAGGTGTGAGCCACTGCGCCTGGCCATTATTAAGTTTTATAGGCAGAGAAGAAAGTTAGTCCTGTGTAAATACAATAGCAATTAAGAATAAATAACAATTAAGCTTCTTTTTTTATTTATTTATTTTTTCTACTTTAATTTTTTTTTTTTTAATTGATCATTCTTGGGTGTTTCTCGCAGAGGGGGATTTGGCAGGGTCATAGGACAATAGTGGAGGGAAGGTCAGCAGATAAACAAGTGAACAAAGGTCTCTGGTTTTCCTAGGCAGAGGACCCTGCGGCCTTCCGCAGTGTTTGTGTCCCTGGGTACTTGAGATTAGGGAGTGGTGATGACTCTTAACGAGCATGCTGCCTTCAAGCATCTGTTTAACAAAGCACATCTTGCACTGCCCTTAATCCATTTAACCCTGAGTGGACACAGCACATGTTTCAGAGAGCACAGGGTTGGGGGTAAGGTCATAGATCAACAGGATCCCAAGGCAGAAGAATTTTTCTTAGTACAGAACAAAATGAAAAGTCTCCCATGTCTACTTCTTTCTACACAGACACAGCAACCATCCGATTTCTCAATCTTTTCCCCACCTTTCCCCCTTTTCTATTCCACTAAACGGCCATTGTCATCATGGCCCGGTCTCAATGAGCTGTTGGGTACACCTCCCAGACGGGGTGGTGGCCGGGCAGAGGGGCTCCTCACTTCCCAGAAGGGGCGGCCGGGCAGAGGCGCCCCCCACCTCCCGGACGGGGCGGCTGGCCGGGCGGAGGCTCCCCCAACCTCCCTCCCGGACGGGGCGGCTGGCCGGGCGGGGGCTGACCCCCCACCTCCCTCCCGGACGGGGCGGCTGGCCGGGCGGGGGCTGACCCCCACCTCCCTCCCGGACGGGGCGGCTGCCGGGCGGAGACGCTCCTCACTTCCCAGACGGGGTGGCTGCCGGGCGGAGGGGCTCCTCACTTCTCAGACGGGGCGGCCGCCGGGCAGAGGGGCTCCTCACTTCTCAGATGGGGTGGCCGGGCAGAGACGCTCCTCACATCCCAGACGGGGCAGCGGGGCAGAGGCTCTCCCCACATCTCAGACGATGGGCGGCCGGGCAGAGACACTCCTCACTTCCTAGATGGGATGGCGGCCGGGAAGAGGCACTCCTCACTTCCCAGACTGGGCGGCCGGGCAGAGGGGCTCCTCACATCCCAGACGATGGGCGGCCAGGCAGAGAGGCTCCTCACTTCCCAGACGGGGTGGCGGCCGGGCAGAGGCTGCAATCTCAGCACTTTGGGAGGCCAAGGCAGGCGGCTGGGAGGTGGAGGTTGTAGCGAGCCGAGATCACGCCACTGCACTCCAGTCTGGGCACCATTGAGCACTGAGTGGACGAGACTCCGTCTGCAATCCTGGCACCTCGGGAGGCCGAGGCTGGCGGATCACTCACGGTTAGGTGCTGGAGACCAGCCCGGCCAACACAGTGAAACCCTGTCTCCACCAAAAAAAATACGAAAACCAGTCAGGCGTGGCGGCACGTGCCTGCAATCACAGGCACTCGGCAGGCTGAGGCAGGAGAATCAGGCAGGGAGGTTGCAGTGAGCCGAGATGGCAGCAGTACAGTCCAGCTTCGGCTGGGCATCAGAGGGAGACCGTGGAAAGAGAGGGAGAGGGAGACCGTGGGGAGAGGGGGAGGGGGAGGGGGAGGGGGAGCCAATTAAGCTTCTTACGTGAAAGTAACTTCTGTGTACTTCTGTGTTAAACAATATACATATTCATAGACTAGTAATCTATACTTAGGTATAGAAAATAAGAGTCAACCTTACAGCAAAAATGCAAGAAAAAAAACCTCTCAAAGTCAACTTAATGCCTCGAAGAAGACCAGACGCTCTCTTTGGTTTTGATCCCTTTGTTGCTCTGATATAGAAATGAAGTACCAAACACTAAATATTTCTCTTTCAGCAGGTCCTAAAACTAAGAGTTTCTCTGTGTAGGTAATTTTAGCACCCTAAATATTGACCTCTTAATCTTTCAATTTACATTCATCTAGCACTTTCTGTTGGTGGTGTCTACTCTATGCCAGCCCCTCCTCCTTCTTCTAGAACCCTCATAGGTTTACTATTGACCTAGAATTTTTTTCTTTCCTCTTGAGAAAGGGCCATGTTTTTTTCTTTGTGAATCTTTATATGTGAAAATTAAAACACATAACTAATATTTACTGACAGATTAGAACAGTAGTTTTCCATGGATAATGATTTCTATGGACAAGCATGTGTTAGAAAAGAATATTAGGAAAGTTAAATTCAGTTAAGTCAAATGTTTATATCCTGTTTTTTCCAAACATTATATTTGCTGAGTGGGACACAGAAGTTAACAGAAACAAATGAAAGTAATTCCTTCTATCTACTGAAGAAATTTATATAACTGGAAAAATTATATAGAATTTTTCTAACTTCTATCTTCCAAATATCTCTTTTCTCTGTCTGCCCAGACATTACTTTAGTCAAGGTCTCATAATTTCTATCCTGGACTGACCATTATTAAGTCTAGAGATATAATGTATAGCATGAGGATTATAATTCATAATCTTGTGTTGTATACTAAAATTTACTGAAAGAGTAGATGTCAGGTACTCTTACTATACACACACAAAAAGGATAACTGTGGAAGGCGATATAGTTTCAATGTGTGTCCCTGCCCAAATCTCATGTTGAAATGTAATCCTCACTGTTGAAGGTGGGGCCTGGTGGGAGTTGATTGGATCATAGGGGCAGATTTCTTGTGAATTGTTTAGTACTGTCCCCTTGGTACTGTCCTCATGATAGTGAGTGAGTTCTTGTGATATCTGGTCATTTAAAAATGTGTGGCACCTTCCCCCTCTCTCTTTCTTGCTTTTCCTTCTGCCATGTGAGACACCTGCTCCCCCTTCACCTTCCACCATCATTGGAAGCTTCCTGAGGCATCCCCAGAAGCTGATGCCTGTGTTATGCTTCCTGTAGAGCCTGCAGAACCATGAGCCAATTAAATATTTTCTTTATAATTACCTAGTCTCAGGTACGCCTTTATAGCAATATAAGAGCGAACTAATACAGAAGGTGATGGATACGTTAATTTGACTTTAGTGCTTATTTCACTATGTATATGAGTATCAAAACATTATGTTATACGCTTTGTATATAGAAAATAAAAAATAAATTAAAAAATTAATCTATCAATTGCTTATTTTATTTTCATTCTGGTTTCACTGAAATCTATCCTTAAACTACCATCAGAGAGATCTTTCTAAAATGCAAATCTCATCATCTATTTGCAGAATTCCCCAGTGGCTCTTCAGTGCCTAAAGTGTAAATCTGAGTCTTCTCAGCCTGGTAGACCAAGCTTTTTGTGAATTTTTTCAACTTTATTTCTAGCCACTATCCCCAGTGCTCTTCCTGCCCCCGACATATGTAACTTCTTACTGCCGTGCATAACTACCCATACCTCTCTGCATTTGCACATTTTGTCCCTCTGACTAGGTGCCCTTCATCAAGCCCATGTCTAACTGTTGGGTTCTAATTTATCTCCCAGGTCTTGGCCCAAGGTAGGTCTTCTGGAGATTCCTCCATCCTCCCATCCTTCAGAAAGAGCTGGGTGATGCCACACTTCACCTATCACTCCATGTGATAACATTGTGTCTATGGGAGTAATGATACTATCTACCTCATAATATAGTTGTACACTATTTGTAAACCTGTCAGTGAATATCAGCACTTATTGTTAAAAATAAGGGCTACCATTTTTGGGGGAGATGAATGATACAAGTATACCAAAATCCTATTTAGAAACCTTTTCCAGATTTACGGCATGGAAGTAGCATGCAATTTGGTTTTTAGTCAGATATCTATTGCCAACAGAGTAAAACACACACTATGTACCAATGGAATTTAATGCTATACTGAAAAAAATATATTTATTTATATCTATTTTCATATTTCCTGTAACAGTAATAGAAATACTTCCCTTTGTGTTTTTTTCTTTTTCTCCTTTAAAAAATCTCACTATATAACTCTGTCTCAACTTTCTTGAGCCTGATGTGAGATTAATCTGTTTCATGGCCTATACCAGTGGAAGAAGCATCAGGAATAAAAAAACAGAGAAAAGAGAAAAGGAAGCAGGAGATTTTATAGGTAATTACTATTTCTGTGATACTGTGTGGTTAGGTGGTACGTTAGGTGGTACGTAGTGCACGTTTGTTACATATGTATACGTATGCCATGTTGGTGTGCTGCACCCAGTAACTCGTCATTTATATTAGGTATATCTCCTAATACTATCCCTCCCCCACCCCCCACCCTACTACAAGCCCCAGTGTGTGACATTCCCCTTCCCATGTCCAGGTGTTCTCTTTGTTCAATTCCCACCTATGAGTGAGAACATGCAGTGTTTATTTTTTTGTCCTTGTGATAGTTTGCTCAGAATGATGGTTTCCAGCTTCATCCATGTTCTTACAAGGACATGAACTCATCCTTTTTCATGGCTGCATAGTATTCCATGGTGTATATGTGCCACATTTTCTTAATTCAGTCTATCATTGATGGACATTTGGGTTGGTTCCAGTCTTTGCTATTGTGAATAGTGCCACAATGAACATATGTGTGCATGTGTCTTTATAGTGGCATGATTTATAATCCTTTGGGTATATATCCAGTAATGGGATGGCTGGATCAAATGGTATTTCTAGTTCTAGATCCTTGCAGAATTGCCACACTGTCTTCCACAATGGTTGAACTAGTTTACAGTCCCACCAACAGTGTAAAAGTGTTCCTATTTCTCCACATCCTCTCCAGCACCTGTTGTTTCCTGACTTTTTAATGATCGCCATTCTAACTGGTGTGAGACGGTATCTCATTGTGGTTTTGATTTGCATTTCTCTGATGGCCAGTGATGACGAGCATTTTTTCATGTGTCTCTTGGCTGCATAAATGTCTTCTTTTGAGAAGTGTCTGTTCATATCTTTTGCCCACTTTTTGATGGGGTTGTTTGTTTTTTACTTGTAAATTTGTTTGAGTTCATTGTAGATTCTGGATATTAGTGCTTTGTCAGATGAATAGATTGCCCAAATTTTCTCCCATTCTGTAGGTTGCCTGTTCACTCTGATGGTAGTTTCTTCTGCTGTGCAGAAGCTCTTTAGTTTAATTAGATCCCATTTGTCAATTTTGGTTTTTGTTGCCATTGCTTTTGGTGTTTTAGACATGAAGTCCTTGATATGGCTATGTCCTGAATGATATTGCCTAGGTTTTCTTCTAGGGTTTTTATGGTTTTAGGTCTAACATTTAAGTCTTTGATCCATCTTGAATTAATTTTTGTATAAGGTGTAAGGAAGGGATCCAGTTTCAGCTTTCTACATGTGGCTAGCCAGTTTTCCCAGCACCATTTATTAAATAGGGAATCCTTTCCCCATTTCTTGTTTTTGTCAGGTTTGTCAAAGATCAGATGGTTGTAGATGTGTGGTATTATTTCTGAGAGCTCTGTTCTGTTCCATTGGTCTATATCTGTTTTGGTACCAGTACCATGCTGTTTTGCTTACTGTAGCCTTGTAGCATAGTTTGAAGTCAGGCAGTGTGATGCCTCCAGCTTTGTTCTTTTGGCTTAGGATTGACTTGGCAATGTGGGCTCTTTTTTGGTTCCCTATTAACTTTCAGGTAGTTTTTTCCAATTCTGTGAAGAAAGTCATTGGTAGCTTGATAGGGATGGCATTGAATCTATAAATTACCTTGGGCAGTATGGCCATTTTCACAATATTGATTCTTCCTAACTTAAATGACCTAATGGAGCTGAAAACCATGGCACAAGAACTACGTGACGAATGCACAAGCTTCAGTAGCCGACTCGATCAACTGGAAGAAAGGGTATCAGTGATTGAAGATCAAATGAATGAAATGAAGCGAGAAGAGAAGTTTAGAGAAAAAAGAGTAAAAAGAAACAAACAAAGCCTCCAAGAAATATGGATCTATGTGAAAAGACAAAATCTATGTCTCATTGGTGTACCTGAAAGTGACGGGGAGAATGGAACCAAGTTGGAAAACACTCTGCAGGGTATTATCCAGGAGAACTTTCCCAACCTAGCAAGGCAGGCCAACATTCAAATTCAGGAAATACAGAGAACATCACAGAGATACTCCTTGAGAAGAGCAACTCCAAGATACATAATTGTCAGATTCACCAAAGTTGAAATGAAGGAAAAAATGTTAAGGGCAGCCAGAGAGAAAGGTCAGGTTACCCACAAAGGGAAGCCCATCAGACTGACAGTGGATCTCTCGGCAGAAACTCTACAAGCCAGAAGAGAGTGGGGGCCATTATTCAACATTCTTAAAGAAAAGAATTTTCAACCCAGAATTTCATATCCAGCCAAACTAAGCTTCATAAGTGAAGGAGAAATAAAATCCTTTACAGACAAGCAAGCATTGAGAGATTTTGTCACCACCAGGCCTGCCCTACAAGAGCTCCTGAAGGAAGCACTAAACATGGAAAGGAACAACTGGTACCAGCCACTGCAAAAACATGCCAAATTGTAAAGTCCGTCGATGCTAGGAAGAAACTGCATCAACTAACGAGCAAAATAACCAGCTAACATCATAATGACAGGATCAAATTCACACATAACAATATTAACTTTAAATGTAAATGTGCTAAATGCTCCAATTAAAAGACACAGTCTGGCAAATTGGATAAAGAGTCCAAGACCCATCACTGTACTGTATTCAGGAGACCCATCTCACATGCAGAGACACACATAGGCTCAAAATAAAGGGATGGAGGAAGATCTACCAAGCAAATTGAAAACAAAAAAAAGGCAGGGGTTGCAATCCTAGTCTCTGATAAAACAGACTTTAAACCAACAAAGATCAAAAGAGACAAAGAAGGCCATTACATAATGGTAAAGGGATCAATTCAACAAGAAGAGCTAACTATCCTAAACATATATGCACCCAATATAGGAGCACCCAGATTCATAAAGCAAGTCCTTAGAGACCTACAAAGAGACTTAGACTCCCACACAATAATAACGAGAGACTTTAATACCCCACTGTCAACATTAGACTGATCAACGAGACAGAAAATTAATAAGGATATCCAGGAATTGAACTCAGCTCTGCACCAAGCAGACCTAATAGACATCTACAGAACTCTCCACCCCAAATCAGCAGAATATATATTCTTCTCAGCACCACATCACACTTATTCCAAAACTGACCACATAGCTGGAAGTAAAGCACTCCTCAGCAAATGTAAGAGAACAAAAATTATAACAAACTGTCTCTCAGACCACAGTGTGATCAAACTAGAATTCAGGATTACGAAACTCACTCAAAACTGCTCAACTACATGGAAACTAAACAACCTGCTCCTGAATGACTACAGGGTACATAATGAAATGAAGGCAGGAATAAAGATGGTCTTTGAAATCAATGAGAACAGAGACACAACATCCCAGAATCTCTGGGACACATTTAAAGCAATGTGTAGAGGGAAATTTATAGCACTAAATGCCCACAAGAGAAAGTAGGAAAGATCTAAAATTGACACCCTAACATCACAAAAAAACTGGAGAAGCAAGAGCAAACACATTCAAAAGCTAGCAGAAGGCAAGAAATAACTAAGATCAGAGCAGAACTGAAGGAGATAGAGACACAAAAAACCCTTCAAAAAATCAATGAATCCAGGAGCTGGTTTTTGAAAGGATCAACAAAATTAATAGACCACTAGCAAGACTAATAAAGAATAAAAGAGAGAAGAACCAAATAGATGCAATAAAAAATAATAAAGGGGATACCACCACCGATCCCACAGAAATACAAACTACCATCAGAGAATACTATAACCACCTCTATGCAAATAAACTAGAAAATCTAGAAGAAATGGATAAATTCCTGGACACATACACCCTCCCAAGAGTATACCAGGAAGAAGTTGAATCCCTGAATAGACCAATAACAGCCTCTGAAATTGCGGCAATAATTCATAGTCTACCAACCAAAAAAAAGTCCAGGACCAGACAGATTCACAGCCGAATTCTACCAGAGGTACAAGGAGGAGCTGGTACCATTCCTTCTGAAACTATTCCAATTGATAGAAAAAGAGGGAATCCTCCCTAACTCATTTTATGAGGCCAGCATCATCCTGATACCAAAGCCTGGCAGAGACACAACAAAAAAAGAGAATTTTAGACCAATATCCCTGATGAACATCGATGCAAAAATCCTCAATAAAATACTGGCAAACCAAATCCAGCAGCACATCAAAAAGCTTATCCACCATGATCAAGTGGGCTTCATCCCTGGGATGCAAGGCTGGTTCAACATACGCAAATCAATAAACGTAATCCAGTGTATAAACAGAACCAAAGACAAAAACCTCATGATTATCTCAATAGACGCAGAAAAGGCCTTTGACAAAATTCAACAACCCTTCATGCTAAAAACTCTCAATAAATTAGTTATTGATGGGATGTATCTCAAAATAATAAGAGCTATTTATGACAAACCCACAGCCAAAATCATACTGAATGGGCAAAAACTGGAAGCATTACCTTTGAAAACTGGCACAAGACAGGGATGCCCTCTGTCACCACTCCTATTCAACATAGTGTTGGAAGTTCTGGCCAGGGCAATCAGGTAGAAGAAAGAAATAAAGGGTATTCGATTAGGAAAAGAGGAAGTCAAATTGTCCCTGTTTGCAGATGACATGATTGTGTATTTAGAAAACCCCATCGTCTCAGCCCAAAATCTCCTTAAGCTGATAAGCAACTTCACCAAAGTCTCAGGATACAAAATCAACGTGCAAAAATCACAAGCATTCTTATACACCAATAACAGACAAACAGAGAGCCAAATCATGAGTGAACTCCCATTCACAATTGCTTCAAAGAGAATAAAATACCTAGGAATCCAACTTACAAGGAATGTGGAAGACCTCTTCAAGGAGAACTACAAATCACTGCTCAATGAAATAAAAGAGGACACAAACAAATGGAAGAACATTCCATGCTCATGGTTAGGAAGAACCGACTTTTTATTTTAATGAAAAGAATACCAAATGTCAGTGTCTGCTTGTATATGTACACTGTCAAATATACTTTCCCGGAGAACTAGGATTGTGTCTTACTGATTTCTGGATATGGGGTTCCCAGTACCCTGCTGGGTACAATATGTTTATTGTATCAATGACTGTAAATGGTAAATTTTTTTCTAATTTTTTTGTAGGATTTCTAATGCTAATTTTTATTTTTTACAGATATGGAGTGGAAGATGTTCTGTCTTCATTGTGTGTTAAGTGTTGTGTTGAAAATTGTCACAGCCTGTTCTTTAAAAGATTTTATTTATTTCACTACTTTCAATATGTACGGTGAAACCAATCCAGCCATTTCTCTGAAATGTTATGAATTTCTCTCTAAATGTCACTTTTTAGGTTTAACTGGAAATCTTTTTTTAAGCCATGTTATTTTGGCTCTTGGCCCATAGATATTTCTATGTTTTGTAGCATTAAATCATAAAAATTTTCTTCAATTGAATGACATAAATGGAACATACTTAAAAAATATTTAAAGGCTTTAAAAGGAATCATTTGCACTTGAGTGTTATTGCAGGATGACCTTCACAAAGGATTGCCTATGCTACATTCACAACATATACATACATAGAAAGTTAGGCTGGGAAAAAACAAACAAACAAACAACAAAAAACCCAAAAAACAAAAATAATCAAAAACTAAAAGTAGAAGGTTTTCCTTTTTGAACTTAAACATATTCTGTGAACAGACTGAAATTGTGCTGAAATGTATTTGTATATATCAGTCTATATCAGGGAACACTAGCGATCAGGATGAGTTTCTTGGAGACATTTGGTTTTGTGCAGAGTTTCTCAGTGGATAGAAGCAGTGATTTTTAGTTTATTTTTCTAGGTCCTAGAAAAACTAAAATTTTATGGAAAAACTCCCTGAATTTCTTTTAAAACCTCTCTGAAAGGGTACTACAGTTATATCATTCTCTCTTAGGTGCTTGTAGGTAACTTGTTTTATGGGAAAAGTTGTATTTGGGAGCAAGTTCTTGTTTTAAGCAGGCTGTTTTCTTAACCTCAGATTAAAAAACAACTTTAAAAGTAAACATTATACTACTTATACTATTGATAGTAATGCTATATTTTGTTTGAAAAGCTGAAAAGTTATACACTTATAAAGTAACTAAAAAACTTTATTATAGAAAATGTTAAAAATACAAGAAGTGGACAAAAGAGTAAAACAAGGCCCTATGCATCCATCTTAGTTTCAACAATGATAAACTCGTGGCCAATTTTATTTTATCTATTTAAACCATTTTGAGAAAAAATATCACTTTTCTGCTATTCATTCTTTCTTTCTTCAATTGTTTAATGGTCTCATTTAACAGTAGTTTTAAAAAAATGTTCTTATTGAGATTATATAGAATATTTAGGAAAATTTTCTTCCCTCCTTGTTTTCATTTATTTTGAGGGACAGGACGGTTGTATACCTCGTCAAGACATAGTTCAGCTGGACAGGTGTGGCTGAAACCGTTCCTGTAGGTCCTTTTGGCTGCTCTTTGCTTTGGTGATATACAGTGACTGGTACCTAGCTGTTTTGCTGAAGAGTAAGATTTGAGTCTGTAGGTGGTACTGAGCTAAGACACAGCTTTAAAAAAGTCCTGGCTGTCCTTTGTCCAGCTGCCTGTCTTTGCACCGAGAGTGAAGACTGGTGGTACCCACGTGGCAAGTTTGACCCTCAAAAACAAATGCCCTGACCTTCAAGGAGGACACATGGAAGCATTTTGCGTCAATCCCTTTTCTTACTTTTTGATCAAAATAATAAATGGGTAGAGGGCTTTGCTTTTAAGGAGACACTTCCTTCCTAAGCACTGTTTCTTTGTGTTTTTGCTGTCTCCCTTGTGTGTGTACAATGGAGAGAATAGCTCAGGAGACACTTTGGCCAAGCCTATTATGCTGCTATTCCATCTGTCTGTGGCAAACCAGAAAAAATCTGTGTTAGATCTTGCCTTATGGCAAATTCTGATCCACAGTTGCTGTTTTCCCACACTTACTTAAACTTCTTTGCACATCTACTGGCACAAAGGCTTGAGGGCCTCCTTCTGAGTGTGAGATACTTTTATACATCCAGGCCCTCTGGCCTTGCCTCTGGCAGATGCAAATAAACAAAAGCCTGTTTGAAGCTGACTTCCAACGTTAGAAACTGGTTCATGGCCAGAACAAGAGAAGGCATATTAGGATGGTATGTGTGTTATCACTCATCTGGAGATTGGCAACATTTTCTAATTTGGGGGGGGGTAATATATCTATTTTTATGTAATCTTTTGAAATGAATTAGTAATCAAGAAAGAGCCTCATTGGGGAAAGTGGCTGATTTTATTTAAAGACCTGTTTAAAAATGTAATGTGGTTTGAAAATAGATGAATAACTTCAATAAGTTTGGAGGAGGTACTTAAAAATGAATATTGGGCTGCATATTATGATGGTACTTATAGAATAAGGAAAAATATAGGTTAATGTCTTTTTTTTTCTTTTTTCTTTTTTTGTGAGATGGAGTCTCACTCTGTCTCCCAGGCCAGAGTGCAGTGGCATGATCTTGGCTCACTGCAACCTCTGCCTCCTGGGTTTAAGCAATTCTTGTGCCTCAGCTTCCTGAGTAGCTGAGATTACAGGCGCCCACCACCATGCCCAGCTAATTTTTGTATTTAGTAGAAATGGGATCTCACCATGTTGGTCAGGCTGGTCTCAAACTCCTGACCTCAAGTGATTCACCCCCCTCATCCTCCCAAAGTGTTGGCATTACAGGCATAAGCCTCCGTGCCCAGCCTGTGTTTTTATTATAAATGAGAAACCATATCATGTAAGAATGTCTCCCTTTCCTATGGATAATATAATAGTTGTTAAAATATATCTCTTTTCACAAAAATTCCGTTTTGAAGATACTATCCCTCTATTGGGGGAATGAGAAAACTGAACATTTAGTTATAAAAATAACATTAACTAAATTTTACCAATTGAACAGGAGAAATAGATGTGACTGACAATCTCTAGACTTTGAAGGGAAATCGAATAATTAGGTAAATCCACTTTTTCTATATCTACAACCTAAATTTTTTCAGCTCATGTATCTTCTCCCAAAGTCAGAACCATTTTCATTAGAAAATGGAATTTCAGGCTAGGTGCGGTGGCTCATGCCTGTAATCCCAGCACTTTGGGAGGCAGAGGTGGGCGGATCACTTGGGGTCAGGAGTTCAAGACCAGTCTGGCAAACATGGCGAAACCCCATCTCTACTGAAAATACAAAAATTAGCCTGGCATGGTAGCAGGTGCCTGTAATCCCAGCTACTTGTGAGGCTGAGGCAGGAGAATCGCCTGGGAGGTGGAGGTTGCAGTGAGACGAGATCACGCCACTGCACTCCTGCGCGACAGAGTGAGACTCCATCTCAAAAAAAGAAAATGGAATTACAAATCCCAGAAGATTGGATTTGCCATCTAAAAGAAGACAAAGCAAAGAGTAATCAACTTTCCCAACCTAGTCTTTCTTCACTGCACTTGGCCTATAGATGACCACCTTTGGGTTTAGCTTCATCCCTAGACCATTTAGCTGTGGTAGGTGTGGTTGCATCACTTGACCTACATTGTGAGGCAACTTCTGTGCAATCAGTTCCAGTGGCTGCTTTTCTTATGAGGGACCTTATGTGTGGCAAAACTTGGGAAATCAGAGTTGACTATAATATGTCTCTTCACCCTTTTGCCTCTGGGTCCTGTCTGCTGACATTCCAGCCTACACTGCAATTTGCTATAATTTTTCCTGCGCTGCTGGTTTTTCTTGTTTCAATTTTTTTCCCAAAGTAATTTATATGCCATAATTTTCATAGTTTTTCTGATGGTGCTTTTGATCCATAATTTCAATTTAATTCAGTTTGGGATAAAACTAGATGGCCTATTTAAAATTCTGGTGCAGTTTTGCTCTCCTTTGACATTTCAATCTAGTCGAAAGATGAGTAACCAGATAATAGGTATTTGTTAAGATTTCCTTGGGAATTTTTGACATCAGTGTGTCTTGCTCTAATTAATTTCCCATTCTTCTTGTCCCAGGATGAAGGTCGCTTGATTACAGCTGGTTTGTCTTGACATATGCTACTTCTATTGGGGTTTTCTGGGAAGCTGGAAGCAGACCATGCCCAGGGTTATTATGTGTTGTAAGGGGATGGATAGCTGTGAAGCTAGCCTATGGTTTCAGGGTCTAGAGTATCTACCTCTTCTAACACGAGCTGCTATCTACCTACCAACTGGTTCAGGAATATTTAGTCACCCTTCAGGGCATGTAGCCTAGGCTTTCCAAAGTATGTGCCATGAAAAAGGGTTTATAGTCAAATATGCTGGTAAAATGTTGCATAATATATTATCCTTTTAGAGATTTATAATGCATATTAACATAACAAAGGTTCTCAGAAGTCCTGCAGCAAAGAAGCCTGCTTGTCTACAGATAATTCAGTATTTCCAAAATTTATTTTACCCTGGAACCCTACAATCAGCCTTATTTATTAACATTTTCTGGAATTTGTATTAAAAATGCTCTTTTTTTGGAATTCTGATTTAGCCTGTTTATTTTAATCACATTTAAAAATGGCTTAATTTAAAATGCATTTTACAAAGCAAATATTCTCTCTACTCTTATGATGAATCTCATACTGGGTACTAATTAGTCAGCAAAAAGAGTTCATTGTCATAGAGATTCAAGGGAAATGTAAACTGTATGCTATTTTTGATTTAGGTTGTCTTATGAAGATTTTTATGCTCGATGCTTTGAGCCCTTGAGCCCTTTTGAAACTTTATTCTGCCTCTTTTATGCAGAAGTAAGAATAAGTAAGAATGTGACTATGGCAGTGATTAAAGGTGGTAGTAAATGAGCCAAAAATGAAATACTCTCTACCTCCCTTGATAAGCCAGGCCTTTCAAATGGAAAGTCATACAGTTAGTAACAAAAATTGCCATTACCAGAAAAATGTGGCTCAACATTCGGATCCCCTAGGGCTTTATTGTGGTCCATACGGTCCAGGGTCTTTCTTGGCAAGAGTATGTGTCCTTTCTGACAAGTTAGTTATGTAATCTAAGTGACCATTTTGTCCCATACTGACCTCTTGTTTATCTCTATTATTTATGAATTTTTGTGAACTGGTTTTATTTTCAGTCTGTTTAGTTTCTTAATGTACTGGATTGAATTGATGCCATCAATTGGATGAAAGGGTTGGGCCCATTGTCCTCAATCCCTCCTTCTTCACTCCCTTCCTTCCCAGCTGCCTACATGAGGCCTTGAGAGTCTTTTTGGCCTTGCTCTGTTTCACCACAGTCTCACTCTCACTCACGCCTTGCTGCTTCTCCAGGTGAGTATATAGTCCATGGATGTGTCCTGCCTCACCATCTCTGTCCCTTCTCAAGGAAAGGCTATTGGCCCATTATATTTATGGAACAACTACTCTTTGTCCAGCATTGTGTTAGGAGCTGAGGAAATTAAGAAGATGACACAATTCCTGCACATTCAGAGCTAGAAATCTAGAATGACACAGGCAAATAAATGGATCCTGTTAATATAATGTGATGTATGATGACAGAGGTAGCACAGTGTTCTATGGCAGGTATGGAGACCAACATAGGGCAGTCAAGGAAGGCTTCCTGGAAGAAACGACCTGAAGTGAGACTTGAAGGACAAATAGAAAATAGCCAAATGAAGAAGATCATGGTATTGAGGGCAGGTTTTCCAGGCAGAGGGCAGATTACAGACATAAGCATGGAAGTGTAAGGCTATAGGTAATTTGGTATTGCTGAAGTATGAACTTTGAGGCCAAAGAAGTCAGGAAATGCATCCCAGTATCTTGTTCACACATAGACTCAATTGAGGCTAGATGACTTCCTGCAGAATGGCATCCTTTATCTTTGCTGGGACCCAAGGGAAGCAAGGAGGAAAATCACACTGTCATTAAAAATATCACATGATATAGGAAGCTGAGGGGGCATGAGTGAGGTTTTCCATTCCCTTGGGATTTTTCCTGGTTTTTCTCTACCCTCTGTGTTTAAATAAGGTTTATTTTTGATGATGACTGGTCTTACTAGACTAAGCTAAGGAATATAACTGTAATAGGTCTGTTGCACAGCAAGTCAATATGCTGAGACTCCAGGTTGGAGCAGAAAAAGAGGTTTAAATATAGGACAGCCAAAAGAGGAAATGGGAGGAATCTTCAAATCCATCTATTTGAAAGGCTTGGGGTTAAGATTTTTAAGGATTTTGGAGTGAGTCAAAGTGTGGAGATCATTGGTTGGTCAGAGTGCAGTGTGAAGTTATGGGACTGGGAGGTGAAGAAACTGTATTCTCAGGCTGATTCAGTTCCTCTGTGGGGGGTCTTTAAAATGATCAGCATCAGCTGTTCTGCTAGAATTCAGGATCTGCTTTAGCAATTCTTAAACAAAAGCCTTATGATTCTAACATCAGAAATCCTATCCATAGAAGCTTTGGGATGCAAATGGTCAGTATCTAGTGCTATGGTGACTTTCCCTTACAAGGAAGTGGGCCAAAGTGCAGCCTGATAAATGCTTAATTATAACTCTATTTCTATCCAGAATTCTTGTTAGCCCTGTGAGGACAGCTTTAGGAACACCTGGAAAACACTGTCTCATATTAAAATGTTGGACATAGATATCTTGATGATAGCACTGAGGTTGAAGTTAATATGTCATTTTTATGATGTAACTATTCAACATTTTTTTTTTTTTTTTTGTGAGCAGGCATTGTCTTAGGGCCTGGGCATATGTTGATTAGCAAAACAGAGGAGATTCTTTCCTTCTTGTCTTCTTGCAGCTTCTTGCCCAGTAGAGAAGAAAGACATTGGAAAGGTAATTATCATTGTTTTATGTACAGTAGAGGATTCTAACTAGTTTGTGAGTAAGAGAATGCTTAACAATGTTATTTTCAAATATAAGTGGACTGAGCACTTACAAAAGAAGATATCTGGAAAGAGTGCTACCCTTACCACTGGAATAAAAGCTAATAGTCATTAGTGTTGGGATTTCCTAGTAAAATTGGGCATATAAAGGAAGACTATCACTGAGCCAAATCAGTCTTAGAAATGACTATTATAGGGGTCAAAACAATTTGCTAATAGGAAATTGAAACATAAACTTTGTAAAAAGACCAACTCTTAACCAAAAGCCCAGGAATATTTTAACCAAGGGCTCCATCTGTCAGTAGGGGAGCTGCAGTGTGGCATCTCAGAGGTTAGGTAATTTTGCTAGAACCTCACTGACTGTGGCTTGTGACAAATGACTGACCCCTAAGGCCACCAACCCTGGCTGCCTGGTGCTTTGCTTGGCCCCTGCCGAGTGGCTCCTATTCTCTCACCTCCGACCGGGCCATTCCTCTAGCCTAAGGCGGGTATTTTCATTATGATCCATAATCAAGTCGAATGGACTTTGTAATTGAATGAACATCACACACTGGAGACTTTTGATGGGCTCAGCTCATCAGGATTTGAGGGAGGCTGTGTGAGGGAGAAGAGGTGGGGGGAGCTGGGCGCACTTGCTCTCGCCTGTGCTTTGCTTCAGTCATTTGCTGAAACAAATCAGAGGCAAGAATCTGTTTTCAGAGCCCAAAATTATCAATTTACTATGGCATGAATTATAAACAAAAATTTGTGTCTTTAGTAATAACGATGAATGAAAACAAAAGTATTCCTGGCTGGAAGAATAAACTTGCTGTGTATATATGCAATTTATGGAGGTAAACTGTGCTTATCTCAGGTTTCTTCTCCATGTTCTGTCGTGGGCACCAACACCTAACTTGAATGAAGGCGTACTCTGCCTGGGAGTACGTGGTCTGAGCAGGAAAAGGGTGAGCCTGCATGTCCTCGTCCTCTTCCAGGCTAATTATTGCTCACATTTTCTGTTGATTGAATAGTTACCCTATTCACCAATGAATGATAGGACACTTTCCAGTGAGGCTGTTACATACGAAGTTGTGAACAATGAATGAGTTTTAATGCAGTGCATTGCTGAGGAGAGACAGAGAGAGAGAATGAGAGAAAGGATGTGTGTGTATTGTGTGAGGTGAAAGAATTTGTAATTGTTGGGTCAATGTAATTTTCTTCTCTGGTGGACAGAGCCTGTAGCATAAATCATCCTAATGGAGGAAGAAACTTTAAAAATAATATCTGATCTAGGATGTGGGTTATAACTTGCATCTCAAATGTCTCTATCTAGATTACTGGGAATGAACAACATTGTACTTTTTTTTTTCATTCAGGGCCCTCAATACATGTTTTTTAAATTACTAGAGTGCCAGCAGAAAATTAATTTCCTGCCTACTATCTACTTTGAGTACTAAGACATATGTTGAATAGTTAGGAAACACTTGTAGGGGAGGTGGCATGAGTAGATAGGAGATAGAAGCAGGCCTGATGGGAGAAGTAGGTTGAAGTGCTTCCATAAAGAGGCAGAGAGTTGCTTTGGGAAGTAGTGCTTGCCAGAAAGTGGATGCACTGGGAGGAAAGTTCAGACAAGTGTGAACTCGAGGACAGTTGGTGGAAAGCCTCCACGTTAGACAGACCCTTCAGGAAATAAGGAGCCACTGCAGGATTTCGGTCAAGGAGTAACACAGCAGAGAGCATAGAGTTTGAGGCACTCCAGGGCTGAACAGTATTGACAAGATAGAGACGCCAGACAGGGAGTAGCCTGTCTTCTTAGCCCTGACCCAGAGCTGAGGTGGTGGGGACTGACCTACAGGATGGCTACGGAAGTGAGACATCAGATGAAGGACTAGAAAAACATGAAGAATTAGATGTGGGGAGGTTGGAAAAAAATGTGAATAAGAAATCATTTCAAATTATAAATCATGGAGGTACAATTATGGTGGTCCACAAATTTCAAGAACAACAAAGCCTTGCAAGTAGGGTGTTAAGAAATGCAAAGGGGGTTCTTCTAAAATTAAATGAGTGCTTCAGATTATTACAAGAGTAGGAGATGCATGACCTGTGACGTGTGTTTTTTTTTTTGTTGTTGTTGTTTTTCTTTTTGATATAGGGCCTTGCTATGTTTCCCAGGCTGGCCTGAAACTCCTGGCTGAAGTGATTCTCCTGCTTCAGCCTCCCGGGAAGCTAGGACTATAGGTACTTGCCACCATACCCAGCTGTTGACATGTGTTTTTAAGACTGAGTCTTTCTTTGCTTTGGATCTGTATGGGTGCAAGATATGCTCTCCTTTTCCTTGAAAATTTATCCTGTGTATCCATACACATAAAGTTGGAAAAACTGTTTTCTCAAGAGATATAGAATGCAAGAAACAAACTTCTGAGATTGTTCACATCAGTGCTAAAAAAGTTCAATATTTAACTAAATAGTATATTTAGTATCCAGACATGTGGTTTTCCTTTGGGAATCCCTGGTTGTGCCACCCTGCCAGTAGAACTACTGAAGAGAATGCTTGCTGTTAGAAAACAAACTGTACAGAGGACAGAAAAGGATGTAAGGATCCACAAAAACCTATGTAGGATCATTCATCAAAATCTAGGATCACTCTTGTTCTCTTATCACAAAGATTTGAGCATTTTCTTGTGGTTTATATGATTTGCTGTTACATTATTAATTTCTTTTTGGGTAAGTAGGAAGTGATTTCATCATGCATAAATTCCATTCATTTTGTACTACTCTATAAAGCATATCATATTTTAATCGTCAGTTGTCCGGGGTTGCAGACAGAATGTATGTCATGGTTACACAAATAGACACAACATACACTGTATGCATCTCAGTCTGGGCGTTCCAGAACGGACAGAAGAGCAGGTGGTGATTTTCTTACACAAAATTTAACAGCCAATTCTTGTATCTTTTCTTGCCAAAATGTCTACAATCACAGAACTCTACTGATTGTCATTGCAATGTAAATTCATATATTGTAATATTTGTTTTGAAAATTTATATACTGGCTCACCATATGAACATGTTCTCATTGCCCACTCAGGCCTTTGAGCAATTTTCAGTCTTTTGTTAGCAGATAAAGGCCTTCAGAGCCTCCTATTTTGTGCCCCAAGTTTACCAGCTGCTATCCACTACTGGGCCTCATTAGAGGCCTGCTGCTCTGCTGAGAACCACACCACATGCTACACCCTCTCTTGTCTGCATATTAGCCTGTTGCTGCTCCTTAAATTACCTGGTACAAAGGCTTGCTCTATTTCTCCACAGAGAGCTACCACTCCTATCCAGTCTGAAGAGGCTTTATATCATGATCTCTCAAACTAATTAAGGTTCGTGGGCAGGCCACAGGTTGCTGTAGAGGGACCTTCCTGAAGGCTGATATCTTTCAGAATTCTTTTTTTTTTTTGGCAAAAGATTATTGCTGCTGTACCTTATGTTCAAAAGTCTGTTTTTAAAATTTAAAAAACTTCCTTGTTTTAATCTAGATGATGTATTTAATTTTACATTGCAAAAGTTATTTCCTGAGGAAAGTATAACATACTTTTAATTAAAAACTTTCAAAATAAAAGGTTTAAAGTATTTTCAGGGAATGGAGTTAGTAAATATACTAGAAATGTATTTCCATGAAGGTTTATTGGAAATCATAGATTGTAACCAGTATTTATGTTAATTGGGAAGTATCTTTACTTTTAAATAAAAACATCACAGCTTTCTAATTTTTAAGAGGATTTGTTTGCAATTTCATGGTTTAAAAAATGAGTAAAGGGACCGGGTGCAGTGGCTCATACCTGTAATCCAGCATTTTGGGAGGCCGAGGCAGGCAGATCACGAGGTCAGGAGATCGAGACCATCCTGGCCAACACGGTGAAACCCCTGTCTCTACTAAAAATACAAAAATTAGCTGGGTGTGGTGGTGTGTACCTGTAGTCCCAGCTACTTGGGATGCTGAGGCAGGAGAATCGCTTGAACCTGGGAGTGAGGTTGCAGTGAGCTGAGATCGCACCACTACACTCTGGCCTGGCGACAGTGTGAGGCTCTGTGTCAAAAAAAAAAAAAAAAAAAAAAAGAGTTAAATAGTGTTGGTTTCCTTATAACAAATAAAAAAGATTGTCAAGAAATTTCAGGATTTCTGGGAAGAGCATTTTGATATTTTGGTTACCATTCAGAGAAAAGTGAAATTGCAAGTGTTCTATATTTTTAATAAAATGGATTGATAAAGACCTATTGGGACAAAATACACATTACTAAATGATTCTTCATTAAAGAAACATAGTTTACCTAGGCTAGGTGTGGTGGCTCAGACCTGTAATCCCAGCACTTTGGGAAGCTGAGGCAGGTGGACCACTTGAGCTCAGAAGTTCAAGACCAGCCTGGGCAACATGGTGAAACCTCATCTCTACTAAAAATAGAAAAAATTATCCAGGCATGGTGGCCCATGCCTTTGTTTCCAGCTACTTGGGAGGTTGATGTGAGAGGATTGCTTGAGCCCAGGAGGTGGAGGTTGTAGTGAGCCAAGATTACGCCATTGCACTCCAGCCTGGGTAATGGAGTGAGATCCCACCTCAAAAAAAAAAAAAAAAAAGAAAAGAAAAAGAAATATAGTTTACCAAAAGAAATACTTCACATGGCAAACTCCTCTCACACATTAATATGTAATTCAGTTAATAGACATTTTACTCACACATCGATTTTGTGAAGCAGGACAGTTTGAGTTAGGTAGGAAGGTCTGGCTTATCAACCTGCTGTACCTACTGACATGTCTCCCAAAGTACTTCCTAACTGCACATTTTGTTGATCGTGTAGCACTGCTTCTTCTTTCTTTACTCTCCTCTCGTTTCTTCTCTCTGTCCTTTATCTTTCCATATTTTATGAGAATCATATTTACTTGCTGAAATATAGCTTTGATATTTCCTCATCTGCTGATTTTTTAGGGAATTTGATTATTGATGTATTTTACTGACCTTTTCTTCTGGGTATCCCCTCATGCCAGTGTCTCTTCTATGGTACTGCCTTCCTTGTCAGCCAGGCTGATCTTCCTGGACACTTTCTTAGCCACTAAAAGGGAATGAGAATTATCTTGGCTCCTCAACTGGAAGTATTCCAGGTAGCTTTTTGAATGAAATATATGTACTTAAGTTGTGAATATATGCAGCAAGTATATCTGTCTATGAAAACTTAATATTGAGGACACCACCACCAAGTATTATGTCATATATGAGATGAATTTCTGGTTACTGAGTCTATAACTGACTTACGGAATAAAGAAACCCTGAATCTAACTTATTTACATTTGTAAATAAACAAAAGATGGTAAGTGTGTCTGTCTAGCGCTATCCTTTCAGAGAGATGTTTTAAATGCTTTTGGGTAAGTAGGGAAGTAAAGACTATTTAGATTAATTAAATAATACCATGCAAGCATTTTTTATGGGTGCAAATAAACACTTCTTTTTTTATTATACTTTAAGTTCTAGGGTACAAGTGCACAACGTGCAGGTTTGTTACATATGTATACATGTGCCATGTTGGTGTGCTGCACCCATTAACTCGTCATTTACATTAGGTATTTCTCCTAATGCTATCCCTCCCTCCTCCCCCACCCCACGACTGGCCCTGGTATGTGATGTTCCCCTTCCTGTGTCCAAGTGTTCTCATTGTTCAATTCCCACCTATGAGTAAGAACATGTGGTGTTTGGTTTTTTGTCCTTGAGATAGTTTGCTGAGAATGAGGTTTCCAGCTTCATCCATGTCCCTACAAAGGACATGAACTCATCCTTTTTATGGCTGCATAGTATTCCATGGTGTATATGTGCCACATTTTCTTAATCCAGTCTATCATTGATGGACATTTGGGTTGGTTCCAAGTCTTTGCTATTTTGAATAGTGCCACAATAAACATACGTGTGCATGTGTCTTTACAGCAGCATGATTTATAATCTTTTGGGTATATACTCAGTAATGGGATGGCTGGGTCAAATGGTATTTCTGTTCTAGATCCTTGAGGAATAGCCACGCTGTCTTCCACAATGGTTGAACTAGTTTACAGTCCCACCAACAGTATAAAAGTGTTCCTATTCCTCCACATCCTCTCCAGCACCTGTTGTTTCCTGACTTTTTAACGATCGCCATTCTAACTGCTGTGAGATGGTATCTCATTGTGGTTTTGATTTGCATTTCTCTGATGGCCAGTGATGATGAGCATTTTTTCATGTGTCTGTTGGCTGCATAAATGTCTTCTTTTGAGAAGTGTCTGTTCATATCCTTTGCCCACTTTTTGATGGGGTTGTTGTTTTCTTGTAAATTTGTTTGAGTTCTTTGTAGATTCTGGATATTAGCCCTTTGTCGGATGAGTAGCCTGCAAAATTTTTCTCCCATTCTGTAGGTTGCCTGTTCACTCTGATGGTAGTTTCTTTTGCTGTGCAGAAGCTCTTTAGTTTAATTACATGCCATTTGTCAATTTTGGCTTTTGTTGCCATTGCTTTTTGTGTTTTAGACATGAAGTCCTTGCCCATGCCTATGTCCTGAATGGTATTGCCTAGGTTTTCTTCTAGGGTTTTTATGGTTTTAGGTCTAACGTTTAAGTCTTTAATCCATCTTGAATTATTTTTTGTTTAAGGTCTAAGGGAGGGATCCAGTTTCAGCTTTCTACATATGGCTAGCCAGTTTTCCCAGCACCATTTATTAAATAGGGAATCCTTTCCCCATTGCTTGTTTTTGTCGGGTTTGTCAAAATCAGATGGTTGTAGGTGTGTGGTATTATTTCTGAGGGCTCTGTTCTGTTCTATTTGTCTATATCTCTGTTTTAGTACTTGTACTATGCTGTTTTGGTTACTGTAGCCTTGTAGTATAGTTTGAAGTCAGGTAGCGTGATGCCTCCAGCTTTGTTCTTTTGGCTTAGGATTGTCTTGGCAATGCAGGCTCTTTTTTTGGTTTCATGTGAACTTTAAAGTAGTTTTTTCCAATTCTGTGAAGAAAGTCATTGGTAGCTTGATGGGGATGGCATTGAATCTATAAGTTACCTTGGGCAGTATGGCCATTTTCACGATATTAATTCTTCCTATTCTTGAGCATGGAATGTTCTTGCATTTGTTTGTGTCCTCTTTTACTTCATTGAGCAGTGGTTTGTAGTTCTCCTGGAAGAGGTCCTTCACATCCCTTGTAAGTTGGATTCCTAGATATTTTATTCTCTTTGAAGCATTTGTGAATGGGAGTTCACTCATGATTTGGCTCTCTGTTTGTTATTGGTGTATAAGAATGTTTGTGATTTTTGCACATTGATTTTGTATCCTGAGACTTTGCTGAAGTTGCTTATCAGCTTAAGGAGATTTTGGGTTGAGACGATGGGGTTTTCTAAATATACAATTATGTCAACTGCAAACAGGGACAATTTGACTTCCTCTTTTCCTAATTAAATACCCTTTATTTCTTTCTCCTGCCTGATTACCCTGGCCAGAACTTCCAACACTATGCTGAATAGGAGTGGTGAGAGAGGGCATCCCTGTCTTGTGCTAGTTTTCAAAGGGAATGCTTCCAGTTTTTGCCCATTCAGTATGATATTGGCTGTGGGTTTGTCATAAATAGCTCTTATTATTTTGAGATATGTCCCATCAATACCTAATTTATTGAGAGTTTTTAGCATGAAGGGCTATTGAATTTTGTCAAAGGCGTTTTCTGCATCTATTGAGATAATCGTGTGGTTTTTGTCTTTGGTTCTGTTTATACACTGGATTACGTTTTTTGATTTGTGTATGTTGAACCAGCCTTGCATCCCAGGGATGTAGCTCACTTGATCATGGTGAATAAGCTTTTTGATGTGCTGCTGGATTTGGTTTGCCAGTATTTTATTGAGGATTTTTGCATTAATGTTCATCAGGGATATTGGTCTAAAATTCTCTTTTTCTGTTGTGTCTCTGCCAGGCTTTGGTATCAGGATGATGCTGGCCTCATAAAATGAGTTAGGGAGGATTCCCTGTTTTTCTATCGATTCGAACAGTTTCAGAAGGAATGGTACCAGCTCCTCCTTGTACCTCTGGTAGAATTCAGCTGTGAATCCATCTGGTCCCGGACTTTTTTTGGTTGGTAGACTATTATTTATTGCCTCTATTTCAGAGGCTGTTATTGGTCTATTCAGAGATTCAACTTTTTCCTGGTTTAGTCTTGGGAGGGTATATGTGTTGAGGAATTTATCCATTTCTTCTAGGTTTTCTAGTTTATTTGCTTAGAGATGTTTATAATATTCTCTGATGGTAGTTTGCATTTCTGTGGGATTGGTGGCGATACCCCCTTTATCATTTTTTATTGCATCTATTTGATTCTTCTCTCTTTTTTTCTTTATTAGTCTTGCTAGTGGTCTATTAATTTTGTTGATCTTTTCAAAAAACCAGCTCCTGGTTTCATTGATTTTTTCAAGGGTTTTTTGTGTCTCTATCTCCTTCAGTTCTGCTCTGATCTTAGTTATTTCTTGCCTTCTGCTAGCTTTTGCATTTGTTTGCTCTTGCTTCTCTAGTTCTTTTAATTGTGATGTTAGGGTGTCAATTTTAGATCTTTCCTGCTTTCTCTTGTGGGCATTTAGTGTTATAAATTTCCCTCTACACACTGCTTTAAATGTGTCCCAGAGATTCTAGTATGTTGTGTCTTTGTTCTCGTTGGTTTCAAAGAGCATCTTTATTTCTGCCTTCATTTTGTTATGTACCCAGTAGTCATTCAGGAGCAGGTTGTTCAGTTTCCATGTAGTTGAGCGGTTTTGAGTGAGTTTCTTAATCCTGAGTTCTAGTTTGATTGCACTGTGGTCTGAGAGACAGTTTGTTATAATTTCTGTTCTTTTTCATTTGCTGAGGTGTGCTTTACTTCCAACTATGTGGTCAATTTTGGAATAAGTGTGATGTGGTGCTGAGACGAATGTATATTCTGTTAATTTGTGGTGGAGAATTCTGTAGATGTCTATTAAGTCTGTTTGATGCAGAGCTGAGTTCAGTTCCTGGATATCCTTGTTAATTTTCTGTCTTGTTGTTCTGTCTAATGTTGACAGCGGGGTGTTAAAGTCTCCCGTTATTATTGTGTGGTAGTCTAAGTCTCTTTGTAGGTCTCTAAGGACTTGCTTTATGAATCTGGGCGCTCCTGTATTAGGTGCATATATGTTTAGGATAGTTAGCTCTTCTTGTCGAATTGATCCCTTTACCATTATGTAATGGCCTTCTTTGTCTCTTTTGATCTTTGTTGGTTTAAAGTCTGTTTTATCAGAGACTAGGATTGCAACCCCTGCCTTTTTTTTTGTTTTCCATTTGCTTGGTAGATCTTCCTCCATCCCTTTATTTTGAGCCTATGTGTGTCTCTGCATGTGAGATGGGTCTCCTGAATACAGCACAGTGATGGGTCTTGGACTCTTTTTCCAATTTGCCAGTAGTGTCTTTTAATTGGAGCATTTAGCTCATTTACATTTCAGGTTGATATTGTTATGTGTGAATTTGATCCTGTCATTATGATGTTAGCTGGTTATTTTGCTTGTTAGTTGTTATTTTGCTCACAGTTTCTTCCTAGCATCGATGGTCTTTACAATTTGGCATGTTTTTGCAGTGGCTGGTACCAGTTGTTCCTTTCCATGTTTAGTGCTTCCTTCAGGAGCTCTTGTAGGGCAGGCCTGGTGGTGACAAAATCTTTCAGCATTTGCTTATCTGTGAAGGATTTTATTTCTCCTTCACTTATGAAGCTTAGTTTGGCTGGATATGAAACGCTGGGTTGAAAATTCTTTTCTTTAAGAATGTTGACTATTGGCCCCCGCTCTCTTCTGGCTTGTAGAGTTTCTGCCGAGAGATCCACTGTTAGTCTGATGGGCTTCCCTTTGTGGGTAACCTGACCTTTTTCTCTGGCTGCCCTTAACATTTTTTCCTTCATTTCAACTTTGGTGAATCTGACAATTATGTGTCTTGGAGTTGCTCTTCTCAAGGAGTATCTCTGTGGTGTTCTCTGTATTTTCTGAATTTGAATGTTGGCCTGCCTTGCTAGGTTGGGGAAGTTCTCCTGGTTAATATCCTGCAGAATGTTTTCCAACTTGGTTTCATTCTCCTCGTCACTTTCAGGTACAGCAATCAGATGTAGATTTGGTCTTTTCACATAGTCCCATATTTCTTGGAGGCTTTGTTCATTTCTTTTTACTCTTTTTTCTCTAAACTTCTCTTCTTGCTTCATTTCATTCATTTGATCTTCAATCACTGATACTATTTCTTCCAGTTGATCGAATCGGCTACTGAAGCTTGTGCATTCGTCACATAGTTCTCGTGCCGTGGTTTTCAGCTCCATCAGGTCATTTAAGGACTTCTCTACCCTGGTTATTCTAGGTATCCATTCGTCTAATCTGTTTTCAAGGTTTTTAGCTTCTTTGCAATGGGTTTAAACTTCCTCCTTTAGCTTGGAGAAGTTTGATCATCTGAAGCCTTCTTCTCTCAACTTGTCAAAGTCCTTCTCCATCCAGCTTTGTTCCGTTGCTGGTGAGGAGCTGTGTTCCTTTGGAGGGGGAGAGGTGCTCTGATTTTTAGAATTTTCAGCTTTTCTGCTCTGTTTTGCCCCATCTTTGTGGTTTTATCTACCTTTGGTCTTTGATGATGGTGATCGACAGATGGGTTTTGGTGTGGAAGTCCTTTCTGTTTTTTAGTTTTCCTTCTAACAGTCAGGACCCTCAGCTGCAGGTCTGTTGGAGTTTGCTGGAGGTCCACTCCGGACCCTGTTTTCCTGGGTATCAGCAGCTGAGGCTGCAGAACAGAGAATATTGCTGAACAGCAAATGTTGCTGCCTGATCGTTCCTCTGGAAGCTTTGTCTCAGAGGGGTACCCGGCCATGTGAGGTGTTAGTCTGCCCCTACTGGGGGGTGCCTCCCAGTTAGCCTATTTGGGGGTCAGGGACCCACTTCAGGAGGCAGTCTGGCCATTCTCAGATCTCAAGCTCAGTGCTGGGAAAACCACTGCTCTCTTCAAAGCTGTCAGACAGGGACATTTAAGTCTGCAGTGGTTTCTGCTGCCTCTTGTTCGGCTATGCCCTGCCCCCAGAGGTGGAGTCTACAGAGGCAGGCAGGCCTCCTTGAGCTGCTGTGGGCTCTACCCAGTTTGAGCTTCCTGGACGCTTTGTTTACTTACTCAAGCCTCGGCAATGGTGGGCGCCCCTCCCCCAGCCTTGTTGCTGCCTTGTAGTTCCATCTCAGACTGCTGTGCTAGCAATGAGTGAGGCTCCGTGGGCATGGGACCCTCCAAGCCATGCGCAGGATATAATCTCCTGTTGTGCCGTTTGCTAAGACTGTTGGAAAAGCACAGTATTGTGGTGGGAGTGACCCAATTTTCCAGGTGCCATCTGTCACAGCTTCCCTTGGCTAGGAAAGGGAATTCCCTGAGCCCTTGTGCTTCCTGGGTGAGGTGATGCCTTGCCCTGCTTTGGCTTATGCTCGGTGGGCTGCACCCACTGTCCTGCACCCACTGTCCAACAAGCCCCAGTGAGATGAACCCAGTACCTCAGTTGGAAATGCAGAAATCACCCATCTTCTGTGTTGCTCACATTGGGAGCTGTAGACTGGAGCTGTTCCTATTTGGCCATCTTGTGCAAATAGACACTTCTAAAAGTAACTGTTGGACAGGCACAGGGATCATGGCAGCTTCAACTGTGATTTCAGTGTACACAGCACTTTAACAAATGTTGTTGATCTGAAATGAACTCTAAAGGGCCTATTTCTAGGACCTGTTGTGTTTTGTTGCATGGCTGGGTAGCTGAGGAGAAGAGATGGGGCATCTTCCTCTTGGAAGATGGCCATAATAGATTAATTAAACAAATAATTATTAAGTACTTACTATGTGCCATGCATTGTTGTAGTCTGTGCTTGAAGTACAATAGCAAAAAGACAGATGTGGTCTCTGTTCTCATGATGCTCATGGACTGGTATGGGATAGAGACAAATAAACAGAAAATTGCTCTCTGTGTTAATCAGAGTTATAATGGCAGAAAGCAAAGTGTGCTGAGAGGACAGACTGGTCCTGCAGGTAGTAGAAATCATCCATGTGTAGTCTAGACTAGGGAAACAAGCCTGGGGACTCTGGCCTTCACTCTCTTACTGGGGTTTTTGGACCTGGAAACATAAACCTTCATCTGCAGTACTCCTGGAAATGGCCATTGCTGCAGTTATCTCAGGCTGCCACTTAGGGACTTCTGTATTCTTTTCAGTTTACCAAGCCCTAAGGTGATTTTGTCTCTTTGGTATATGTGTGTACACATATCACATAAGCTTTGCTGCACCATTTAAAAGTAAGTTGTAGAGCTCATTATACTTCGATATCCATCTTCTAAGAATAAGATTTCTACACAAATCATAACTTCATCATTTCTAAAATAATTATCAATAACTGAATGAAGTTATCTATTGTCCAGTCTATTATTAAAATTTCCCCAGTTATTCTAAGAATGTTTTTATGGCTATTTTTTTTTCTGGAGTGAATATTCCATTAAAGTTTCTGCACTAAAATTAGTTTTTATACCTTTCTAGTCCCCTCCCCTGCTAGAGGTAACTATTATTAATGTTATTATTTTTACCTCTCTGGTCTATATTTTTATACTTTTGCTACATATATATCTAAAATAGTATATATAGTTTTACACTTAAATTTTTGTTTAAGTGGTATTTTATCTTATGCATCATCCAACTAACTCAACATTATGTTTCCAAGATCTACCCATGTTAATACATGTAGATCTAATTCATGCATTTTCAACTGCCATATATGTGTGAAAATGCCAAGCTTTATTTATCCACTTCTCTACTGAAAGGCATTTAGGTTGATTCCATTTTTATATTAGCTAAAGTATTTTGACTTTTATTTTAGCATTGCCAGGAGACATAACAGAGGGTCTGTTATTAAATTAGAAAGATGTTTTTACAGATTAGTTAACTTTTGTTTTTGCTCACATTCTTCTGAGACTTATTCTGCCATGAACTTGGCTCCATTTTTATGACATGTTTCCTTGGCAGCCTCAATGTCAGATGGCAGGACAGTCTTTTTGCCTCCCAGGAACCTCCTCAACCACCTTTCTGCTAATATTGCAGACCAGAGTTCTCAAATCAGAACTATCTAGGGAGATTTAAAAATAAACTGTTTAAGATTCTGATCTGGAGTGTGGCCTGGTCAGCCACAGTTTAGAACCACGGTCAGCCATTATCTGGATCCTAGAGAATAACTGTATGGGCTGGCGTGGGAGTCACATAGGGTCTCCTGCAAGGAATTGGACATCTGGACTGTGTCTTAGCATTAAAAATACTATGCTGATGGTGTTGACTTAGAAGCCAAAGAAGGCTGCAAAAGACAAATGGCTGCATTTCTCCCAACCTCAGAGCTTTTTGTTATATTTCATGATTACTGAAAATCTTTCATTGAAATGTGGAGATGAAAGAATTAAATGTAAAGTTTCTTGTTGACACAATTTAATACATTTTAATCTTATTTCTCACATTGTTTTGGTACTACAGAAATGTTTGTCTCTTCTTAGATATGCTATGCTTCCTGTTATTAAATAATTAAAAAGATGTCTTGGTCAATGATTCTCTGTCTTCTGTCTTGACTCTCAGGACTTTTTCTGGAAGGAAAACAATCTATTGAGCTGTACCACATGGCAGGTACTTTACCTACAATATATAATTTAATCCTCAAACAAATAACCTTCTGAGGGGATTATCTTCATTTTACATGTAAGAACATGGAGATTCAGGAAAGTTATTTGCCGATAGCTACAAATATAGCAAGTAGAAGGTAAAATATTAGAAACCAAGCTCTCCTGACTCCGAAATGTAGGTTCTTTCTATGCTTCTGCTGTATCTAAGAGGAAGGATTGAGAAGAGTTTCCCACAGTTTCCTTTGCTCAGCTGACAGGTGCCCATATCAAAGCCCAGATTTCTGATTTCTAAGACTTGTGGTCCACAGCCTGGATAGCACAAGGGCAGAAGTTCTCTGTAGCAGAGCATGGCGGGGACAAGGATACCTTCTGCAACCACACTCCAGGCTAATCACCTCCCAGTCCTCTCATGCACACCCCCTTCTCTGCTCCCAGTGTCAATGCCACTGGAGCTGTTCTCTCCAACATGAGAATATTCAGGTCTTTTCCTTCTTCCCACAGCTTTGTCTGTAAGACTTCATGCTCTAGCTTCTTTCCAGTGACCTTGAATATTGACTTTTCCAAGGTCTTACTTGGTAAGATTGTTTTGGACTAATTGTTTGTGGGGAACTCAGGAAAACAGAATAATTGGGAGTTGTGGTTGCTGGAATCTTGGTGGTCTTATGAAGAGAGAAGGTGTAACATATATAACCCATTATGTCAGTCTGATGAATTAAGGAGCAAGGATACTTTTGTATTCATAAGTTATAATAAGGAGAAATCTAGAAATTACCAACTTCTGCAAATCCTAATACAAATATACAAATTTGGGCAGAACTGTTTTGGAAAAAAAATCTTCCTACATTTTTTCTGATGTGAGAAGGTAAAGCACAATGCAGGTGGATCTGACAGGCTTCAGTGGTCTGGTTTAGAGCCCACAATAGTGCCAGCTTAGCCAATATATTTGATTAGATGAGACCTTGGATTAAGTAAGCTCTCATAAAGGATAGGGGTGGGGGAGTCCTTGATAATATAACCTCATTTTAGGTAGCAAAACAATGCCCCATGAAACAACCACAATTTTGTATCTCATTGGCAGAATGATGAGAGAGGGAGGAGGGCTGTGATTTGTTTAGGTGCCTAGAAAATTTGGAACAGGACACAAACCAAACCACCTGTGAACAGAATGCTCTGCTTGTTCCTGCTGAACCCTTGAACAAGTTGTTGGCAGGGAATTCAGGTAGAGAGTACATGTATGAGGGCCATTTGCGGGATGGTTGGGCACTGGAGGGTAAGCTCTGTTGCTGCTCCTGGCAGGAAGTTTCCTATGTCACTCCCTGTTAATGCAGATGGTACACAGAGGGCTTCATGTTGACCATTTGCAACCTTATATGCAGGCAAAGATATGTTTTCTCTGCCCACATCATTCTCTGCATGGGATAAGGTGCCTCAAGCAAAGTCAGAAAGACATTGGTTGTTCAAGCTATGGCTATGAGAAGTTCATTGGATTTGGATGAGAAACTGCACCCCCCAATTTGTGAGACTTTAAAAAAATAACTCATCTCTATACAAAATTATTGTTTTCTTCTAGGCAGAATATCTTTTAGACCTGATTTGACTTTTTGGACACCTAGAATCTGTTGGGAGCAAAGGTAAAGGAAGTGCCCCCACCAAACTTGACTCAATTCTTGGCTTTTTTTTAGGTTTGTGGAGAAAGGTTGGCTAGTCAGACAAATTTCCGGAATGTTAGGTCATGATGTAGGATTGCTAAGTACGGCAGCTGTTATGGCTGAATTGTGTCCACCCGCCAAATTAATATGTTGAAGCTTTAGAGCTTCAACCTCTGTACCTCAGAATGTTACTGTATTTGAAGATAAGTCCTTGAAAGAGGTGATTAAATTAAATAAGGTCAATAGGGTGGGCTCCAATCCAATTTGACTGGTGCCCTTATAAGAAGAGGAAAATTGGACATGAGGAGAGAAACAGGGATGGTCACACACAGAGAAAAGACCGTGTGAGGACAAGCAAGGTGATGGCCATCTGCAAGCCAAGGAGACAGGCGTCAGTTATTTTGATATGACTCCGCTAATCTCTTTTAGCTTCTATGCTATCTGATAGGACAAGATATTCTAGGCTCACCTTGCTTATTTCTTGTCCTACACCTGGATACTTGGTGTTACTGGGTTCGTCATTGTTTTTATGGCCCTGGACATCAGGAAGAAAAGCTTGTATAATGAGCCCAGGCATTTGAGAGCCATGCAGTTCACATTCTGAAGTTTTGAAAAGCCCTGTTCCTGGGGGTAGAGCCAGGGTGGACACTGTATGTTATTTTTTTTCTCTCTTTTGTTTGTTATTCCAGAGAAAATCTTGTTGAAAAAGAGTGACTCTAGTTAACTGGATGATCATCAATATAACCAATTTGACCCTTACATTTAATTTCTTTCAGAAAATTATTTAGTGATTTTACATGCTGCCTAATATAGTAAAACGTATGTGTGATCTTTAGGAATAATTCCATCATTACAGTTTAAATGATTCGGTCTAATTTTTTCCAGCATATTGCCATAGACATTTGGGATATAGCGGCTAAGATAATGTTTCCCATTCCAGTTCACTCTGCAATGGGGAAACAAATACCAACAACCATCACAGTGCCAAGTGGTACATGTTCATGTACATGTATGCAAAGTGCTATCAAATCACTGAAGAATGAACACTCAACACTGCCTAGGGCTGGATCAGAGGAGGTTTACCAAGAAAGTAACAGACACAATTTTTCTTAAATAATAATTAAGAGTTTTGCAGAAGAAAAACCAGGGAAAGAATATAATCTATAAGCAGGTGTGGCAGATGTGGTTGTTGCCTACTCAATAGCCATTTCTTTTCCTCTTTTTCCTCTTCCCATGATAAAGTCTGGAAATACCCAATAATTTGCCACATTTTCTTGCAGCCAGGACTGTCCATGTTAGGCAATTCTGGCCAATGAAATATAAGGTCAAGACTGCTGGGTTGAGGTGAGGGGTGCTTCTTGAAAAGAGAAATAGAAAAATGTCCAAGAAGAGCCTTCTTTCCTTCCCTCTTTCTTTGGATTCTGCTATGTGAGTTTATGATGTGAAGCTGAGGCAACCACCTTGTGACCATGAGACAAAGAGCCTGAGGATGGGAATGCCAATCTCCTGAGGATGGCAGAAAGTCAGGAAGAAGTAAGCCACTTACTATAGCCTTTTGTGAAAAATGAAATCTGCTTATCATTAATCCACTGCTGGTGAGAGATTCAGTTACTAACAATCAAAGGCAGCTTAGCTGATTCAGTGTGGAAACTGTATTTTTGGTCATTAAATTTGACAAATAAGTTGTATGATTATGGGGACATACAGATAGAGACCAAATGTGGGTTAAAATATATTGGAGTTATTTAATCTCAGGATTTTATTCTTGAAGAATGTTTTTCTTCTCTACTAAGTGAAGTAATTTCATGTCAAAATTATAGATGTCTCGATCCTCCACTGCAGAAAATTTCATTTCCTGAAGCTGAAAACTTCCAGCATGTCAAGATATTTCTGGGACAAACAGCTTTTGGAGTTTCTCAAGTAGAAAGGGATGGGAATGTTGTCATCCTATATTGTGTCACTTTGAAGGGTGAAAAACTCTAAGGTTTAGAGTAGACTTGGCTCATTCAATGAATATCCCCAGCACTTTGCAACTGTTTCCCAGAAAAAGACTCTTTTCCTTTGCTTTAGCCATGGTGTTGTTGAAGCACTAGCAGGTAGTTTGTGCAGACTTAAATACTAGACCTTAGCTTTGTCTAGTCACTAAAGATGTAATTAGGTTGCAGGGGAAAGTTAAAAATTAAAAAAACAAAACAAAGCAAAACAAAACAAACACACCTCTAATGGGAAGTTATACAATACATAAAAGCAATACATATTGTTTCTTTAAGTATATTGAGCATTTAATGTCTCCAAGATGCTTTTCTAAGTTCTTTATTAAGTCATGTAGTTATCATAACAGTATGAATCATTATTAGCCCCACTTTACAGATGAGAATACTGAGGCATAGAGAGGTAGAGTAGTATGTCCTATTCACACAATTTAATTAGTGGAAGAGCTGAAATTCAAATGCAGTCTATCTCAAGAGGCCATGTTCTTACCTCTACATTCTTGCACTTCTTACTAAGGACTTAGGTTTAAAAGAAGAAGGTAGAGAAGCTCAGCATTTAAATGCTGGTTTTCCGAAGGGATGTCAGGGAGACCTGCTTTTCTTGAACCCCCCAGGCCTTTTTAGTTTGTTATGGCATTATTTTATTATTAACTGTCTTAACAGTTATGCCCTCTTTCTTGAGCTGTACAGTGACACAGCTGTGTAGGAAGAGCAATTAGAGTTTAACAAAGACATGCTAATTGTTTATAGATGCATCAAGAAGAAAAGATTTTAGAAGTTATTGTTATGGTTATCGAAGGCAGGATGAGAGTGGTGGCATATATTTGTAATATTTTTATCTGGTATCCCTAAGCTAAAGGTACCGTCAATTGCAATAGACTGCAAAATCTCTATACAATCTTGTTTTGCTACAATTCTCAGAAATTACTTTGCTGTATACACAGGGATGATCAGCTTTTCACACCTCAGAGAGAACAAAGAAAATTTGGCTGTCCTTAAGGAAGATGGAAAAATAGTATATAGGTTTTCTTGAAAGAGAGAATTGTGCATGTATGTAGAGCAGTTTTTGTCTGTTAGCTAATGATTGGGATGATATAGATTATGTGGAGATCCAGTGATGGAACAGAATTTCAAAATGAAGTCAGTGGTTGCTTACTTACTTATGCAAAACTATGTTCTCTTCTACCTATATTTGTCAGAGCTATTCTGTGTATTGTACGATATATTGAAAGAATGGAGAAAAACTGGTAGTATTTAATTCCTAACATGGGTCGTTATTCTGAGATTGTTTTTAAGGAAGACGAATGGTCCTTTGGACCACTTCTAGCATTCACAGTATCTTTGTGTGTGTTAAAAAATGGGCACCCTCGGCTGGGCGCGGTGGCTCACGCCTGTAATCCCAGCACTTTGGAAGGCCGAGGCGGGTGGATGACCTGAGGTCAGGAGTTTGATACCAGTCTGGCCAACGGGAAACCCTATCTCTACTAAAAACACAAAAAAATTAGCCGGGCATGGTGGGAGGTGCCTGTAATCCCAGCTACTCCGGAGGCTGAGGCAGTTGAATCGCTTGAGCCCAGGAGGCAGAGGTTGCAGTGAGCCGAGATCGTGGCATTGCACTCCAGCCTGGGCAAGAAGAGTGAAACTCCATCTCAAACAAAACAAAACAAAACAAAACAAAACAAAAAAACACCCCAAAAAACAAACAAAAACAAGGCAGTGGGGGCACCCTCTGAGTTCAAAATTGTACAAAGGTCCTCGGTTAGGAGGACTATTAGAAAAAAGGTGCCACTTTTTATTAGTAATGACACAAGGCTTGCAACAGAGTAAGGGCTGCATTTCAAAGCACATCCATGTCCCGTGGGCTGCATGCCTTTATTCCAGATGCAACTGACAACAGCCATACATGATGGCCTGGTAGTCCTACAAGTCAGTTCAATAAAATTATGAAAGGGCATGATTTTATTTACACTGGCAGAGTTATATAATTTTTACACTAAGATTAAGTTAGAGATACTACATATGTCTTCCAGAAAGAGGACATTTTTGGATACAGGTACAAGTTTATAAAGTTTTATATTTAAAAGCACATTAATAACAGTGTGTAATTTCTCAGATTTGTTGTTAAGACTTGTCCCTTACAAATAAGATCTATGGCTTAAAAAAAAGTACAAATAATCATCAAGTAGCTCTTGTATACAAGGCATTGTCTACTTGTGGAAGATTTGGGGGGATGGGAATGAATACATTTTGTATCATGGTTTTCCTTAATTGTTCCCATAGTTTAAGATGCCTTGGATCTAAATGAATTTTGTAAAATTCTTTAATTTTTTTGTCTTCTTAACAACCCTTAAATTAAGACTGGCTTAAGCTTAGAATTACTTGGGATATCATGAATTATTGTTAGTGAAAAGAGGGTATTGAAACTAGAATCTGCATTATAGCAAAAGTTTTCTGCTAAGAATTTTCTTGTTCCACGCAACCTTACTTGGGCAAAGTTTTTCAACACTTAGGAATATATATATGTATATATAATAATATACATGTTTATATATGCATTTATGTATGTTATTGCAAGTCCTTTATCAGAATGTTTTCTGTAATCATTTACTCCCCGTCTGTGGCTTATTTTGCATTGCATTTAACATTTGAAATAAATAGCCTGTTAAAAATGGAAGCTGAAGATCATTTGCATGATGTTGCAATTCATTTTAAAATGTTTTATTTTGGAAGTGTAGAACTACACTCAATTTAACGAATATAAGATGATGAGCCTATATATATCCATTCTTGATAGTCTTTTTGAAGAAGTCTGGTTTACTAAGATATAATTTATGTACAGTAAAATTCACCCTTTGGTGAGTTTTGACAAACATGTATAGTTGTATAATGTGTTCAAGATACGGACTATTTCCATCATCCTCCAAAGTTAATTTGTGGTCTTTTGTAGTCAATCCTTTCCCGCTTCCCCCGGGTGCTGGCAAGTGATTTCTGTCGCTGTAATTTTGCCTTTTCCACAATGTCATATAAATGGAATCAAACAGTATGCATTTTTTGATTCTGGCTCCTTTCACTTAACATGATACTTTTGAGAATCATTTATATATCAGTAGTTCCTTCCTTTTAACTGTTAAGAAGTATTCTATTTCATGGATGTAACACAATTTATCCACTAGGTAGTTGGTAGATATTTGGACGCTTTCCAGGTTTTGGCAATCATGGATAAAGCTCCTATAGAGATTTGTGTAATGGTGTTTGTGTGGATGTATGCTTTCATTGATCTTAGGTACATAGCTAGGGTATGTATTACCACTGGGTTACATGGTAAGTGTATGTTCAACTTTATACGAAATGGGCAAACTGTTTTCTAAGCTGGCCGTGCCATTTTGTTACTTTTATCAGCAATGCATGAAGGTTCTATTTCTTCCACATCCTTTCCAGTACTTGATATTGTTAGTTATATTTAAAATTAAATTTTAGGTACTGCAATAGGTGTAAAGTGCTATCTGAGTGTGGTTTAATTTTTATTTCCCTAATGACTAATGATATTGCGCATTTCCCCCACGTACATAGTGCCTTCGCTGTCTCTACTTTGTCGAAGTGTCTGTTTTTGCCACCTCCCCAATTTTATTGGACTGTTTGTTGTTTTATAATTGAATTCTAAGCATTCTTCATATGTTCTGGGAACAAGTTCTTTGTCAGTTATGTGTTTTGCAAATATTTTATTCCACTTCGTGACTCACTTTTGCCTTGCCTTTCAAAGAGCAGAAGTTTTGAACTTTGATTAAATCCAATTTATGAATTTAAAAAAATGGATTGTGCTTTTGGTGTGATATGTAAGAAAATTTTGCCTAACCTAAGTCATAAAATATTTTTTGTATGCTTTCCTCTGGAAGTCCTATGGTTTTAGGTTTTACATTTTGGTCTATTATCCATTTTGAGTTTACTGTTTTATATAGCATAAGGTAAGAGTCAAAGTTTGTTTTTTTTTTTTGCATATAAAAATCTGGTTAATTTTTTCAGTGCTCTATGTTGAAAAATTGTCCTTTCCCCATTAAATTTTTTTGGCATCTTTGTTGAAAATACAGTTGACCATATATTTGTGGACCTATTTCTGGACTCTGTTTTTTCCATTTTGCCAGTGTCACACTGTATTGATTACTGTGGCTTGATAGTGAGCCTTGAAATCAGGTTACGTGAATCTTGTAATTTAGTTCTTACTTTTCAAAATCACTTTGGAAATTCTAGAGTCTCTGCTTTTCCATATAAGTTTTAGAATCGCTTGTCAGAATCTACAGAAAAGTCTGCTGAGATTTTGCTTGGGATAACATTGAATCTATGTATCAAATCTGGGAGAACTGACATCTTAACACTATTGCCCCTTTTGATCTGTGAACACAAGTATCTCTCCTTTGATTTATGTCTTCTTTAATTTCTCTCATTAACACTTTACAGTTTTTGGTGGAGAGCTCTTGTGTATATTTTGTTGAATTTACCCTTAAATATTCCATGATTTTTAAAGTGATAGTAAATGGTATTTGAAAATACAGTTTTAATATCTCATTACTGGTACACAGAAATGGAAATGAGTTTTGAATATTGGCTTTATATCCTGCAAACTTGCTAAACTCATGTCTTAGTTCTAGTAATGTTTTGTAGACTCTTTGGGATTTTTTATGTAGACAATTATGACATCTGTGAAAATGATAGTTCTGCTTCTTCCTTTCCAAACTGTATGCATATTATTTTTTTTCTTGCCTTATTTTGCATTGTCTAGGACCTCCAGTATGTTGTTGAGTAGGAACAGTGAGAAAAAAATTTGTGGCCAGGCATGGTGGCTCATACCTGTAATCCCAACACTTTGAGAGGCTGAGGCAGGCGGATCATGAGGTCAGCAGTTCGAGACCAGCCTGACCAACATGGTGAAACTCCGTCTCTACTGAAAATACAAAAATTAGCTGGGCATGGTGGTGCACGCCTGTAATTCTAGCTACTCAGGAGGCCGAGGAAGGAGAATGGCTTGAACCTGGGAGGTGGAGGTTGCGGTGAACCATGATCACGCCACTGTACTCCAGCCTGGGTGACAGAGCGAGACTCTGTCAAAAAAAAAAAAAAAAAAAAAAAAAAATGTCTACCCTGCTCCTGATCCTAGTAGGAATTTATTTAGTCTTTTGCCATTAGTTAGTATATTAGCTGTAAATTTTAGTAAATTCTCTTTATCAGGTTGAGGAAGTTTCCTTCTACTTTTAGTTTACTTTTATATGCTGACATAATGTTGAATTTCCTCAAATCTTTTTCTTTATTGATTTTTAGCTTTTAGTCTGAGATATGGTGAGTTTCATTGATTGACTTTCTAAAGTTGAGCCAACTTTACAGAACCAAGATAAGCCCCACTTTTTCATGATATATTATCCTTTGCATGTGCGGCTGAATTCAATTTGCTAATGTGAAAAAAATTTGGCAATGCTATTCATTGTGGGATTTACTCTATCTGATATTAAAATAGCCACCTACCTTTCTTTTAATGTATTTGCTTAGTATATTCCTTTACATCCCTTTATTTGAAACCTATTTATGTCTTTATATTTACTGTAGATTTCTTAAAGATAACATGTCTTGTTTTTAAATTCAATCTGATAATCTCTGTCTTTTTTGGGGTGTTCAGATTCCATCATTTAATTAAGTCATTATTAAGTTGGATTTAAATATACCACCTTGTTAGTTGTTTTCTAATTTCACCATCTTTTCTTTGTTCATTTTTTTCCTGCCTTCTTTTTTAATTTCATTTAATCTCCAATATTGGCTTATTGTTTTTTTCCTAACAGTGGTTTTCCTATGGTTTATAATAGGTATTTTACCTTATAACAATCTACTTTCAAATAGTATAGTATATAATATATAGTGTACTTTCCACAGTATACTTCATTTCCTCTCCTCCTATGTGCTGTTGATATCATATATTTTACTTCTATAAATGTTATAAGGCCCACAATACATTGTTTCTATTTTTTCCTTAGTCAATCAGCTTTTATTTATTTATTTTTAAATAGAGACAGGGTCTCACTATGTTAACCAGGCTGCTCAAACTCTTGGGCTCAAGTGATCCACCTGCCTCCCAAAGTGCTGGGATTAAAAGCATGAGCCACTACTCTCAGCTAGATAATTAATTACCTTTTAGATGAATAATAATAATAAAAAAAAACAGAAGAGCTGGAGCAAGATGGCTGGATACAAGCCTCCATTGATTGTCCTCCCTGTAGAAGCACCAAATAGAACAACTATTCACACAAAAAAATGCACCATCATAAGAACCAAAAATCAGCGAGTGATCATAGTACCTGGTTTTAACTTTATGTCACTGAAAAAGGCACTGAAGAAGGTAGGAAATATAGTCTTGAATTTCCAATGCTATCCCTTCCCCATTCGCTGGCAGTAGCTGTGTGGTGTGGAGACAGAATCTGCGTGCTTGGGAAAGGAAGAGTACTGTGATTGTGAGACTTTGCATTGAAACTCAGTGCTGCCCTTATATAGTGGAAAGCAACATTAGATAGAAATTAGCCAGCACCCATGGAAGGAGCATTTAGATCAGGCCAGGAGGGGAATTGCCCATTCCAGTGGTCCGAAGCTGAGTTCTGGCAAGCCTCACCCCTGACAGCCAAAGTGCTTTGGGTTCTAAATAAACTTGAAAGGCAGTCCAGGCCACAGGGACTACAATTCTTAGGCAAGTCTTGGTGCTGTGCTGGGCTGGGAGACAGTGGGGGCATGCAACCCAGTGAGACACAAGCCAGGGCCACCACAGCAGTGCTTGTGCCAGCCCAACAACAGGCAGCACAGCTCTGGAAGAAACTTTTTCCCACTGCCAGGGAGAAGAGAGGGGAGAGTAAAAAGGACTCTGTCTCAGCCGCAGTAGGATTGGGCATCAGCCAGACTCCTGATGCCCTCATTCCAGGTGTTAGATCCTGGACATTTCTAGACAGGAAATGGTCTAGAAGGTCTAGAAGGAAACTCGTTGCCTTGAAGTAAAGGACCCAATCCTGGCAAGATTCATTACCAACTGACTAAAGAGCCCTTGGGCCCTGAATAATTAGTAGTGGTAAACAGGCAGTACTTGCTGAGGGCCTTGGGTGAGACTCAGAGGCATGTTGGCTTCATATGTGACCCAGCACATTCCCAGCTGTTGTAGCTATGGGGAGAGACTCCTTTTGTTTGGGAAAGGCAGCTTAGGTATCAGCTCTGCCACAGTATGGTAGAGCATCAAGTGAGCTCTTGGGGTCCCCGATTCCAGGCCTTGGTAATTGGATGGCATTTCTGGACCTGCCCTGGGCCAGAGGGGAGCCCAATGCCCTGAAGGGAGAGTCCTAGGCCTGGCACCATTCACCATAAGCTGACTGAAGAGCCCTTGGGCCTTGAGTGAACATCGGTGGTAGCCAGGCAGTACTCAGCATAGTTCTGGGGTAGTCGTGGTCAAGGGAAGACACTCCCTTGCTGGTGCAAAGGGAAGATAAGTGTGGGAAGGACTTTATCTTGTGGCTTGGGTGCCAGCTCAGCCACAGTAGAACAGAGCACCAAGTAGATTCCTAAGGTTTCTGACTCTAGGCACTGGCTCCTGAATGGCATCTCTGGACTCAGCTGGGTCCAGAGGGAACTCACTGCCCTGAATGGAAGGACATGAACCTGGTTGGCTTTGCTACCTGCTGATTATAGAGCCCTACAACCTTGAGCAAACAAAGATGGTAGCCAGGCAGTGGTTGCCATGGGCCTTGGGTAAGCCCCACTGCTGTGTTGTCTTCAGGTCTGACCCAGTGCAGTCTTGGTGGTGGTGGCCACAGATATGCTTGTGTTACCTCTTCCCCAGCACCAGGCAGCTTAGCACAGAGAGAGAGACTTTATATCTTTGGGAGGAAGTAAGGGAAGAGAACAAGTCTCCACCTGGTAATCCAGATAATTCTTCCAGATCTTATCTAAGACCACCAAGGCAGTACCTCTATGAGTTTGCAAGAGCTGCAGTGTTACTGGGCTTGGGGTGCCTCCTAATGCAGATATGGTTGCAACGACCAAAAATTAATATCACAAAACCCAAGTCCCTTTGAATATCTGGAAAATATTCTCAAGAAAGATAGGTACAAATAAGCCCAGACTGCAGAGACTACAATAAATGCCCACCTCTTTACACTGATGAACATCCACAAGCATCAAGACCATCCAGAAAAATATGACCTCACCAAATGAACTAAATAAGGCACCAGGGACCAATCCTGGAGAGACAGAGATATATGACCTTTCAGAAAGAGAATTCAAAATAGCTGTTTTGAGGAAATACAGAAATTTAAGATAACACAGAGAAGGAATTCAGAAGTCTATCAGATAAATTTAATTAAGACATTGAAATAATTAAACAATCAAGCAGAAATTCTGGAGCTGAAAAATGCAATTGGCATACAGAAGAATGCATCAGAGTCTCTTAACAGTAGACTTGATCAAGCAGAATAAAGACTTAGTGAGCTTGAAGACAGGCTATTTGAAAATAGTCAGAGGACACAAAAGAAAAAAGAATTAAAAGAGAATGAAGCATGCCTACAAGATCTACAAAACAGTCTGAAAATAGTGAATCTAATAGTTGCTGGCCTTAAAGAGGAGGTAGAGAAAGAGATAGGGGTAGAAAGTTTATTTAAAGAGATAATAAGAAAGAACTTCCCAAACCTAGAGAAAGATATCAATATTTAACTGCGAGGAGATTTTAAACAGCAAGTGGATTTAAGCCAAAGAATACTACCTAAAGACATTTAATAATCAAACTCTCAAAGTTCAAGGATGAAGAAAGGATCCTACAAGCAGCAAGAGAAAAGCTGAAACTGGATCCCTTCCTTACACCTTATACAAAAATTAATTCAAGATGGATTAAAGACTTAAATGTTAGACCTAAAACCATAAAAACCCTAGAAGAAAACCTAGGCAATACCATTCAGGACATAGGCATGGGCAAGGACTTCATGTCTAAAACACCAAAAGCAATGGCAACAAAAGCCAAGATTGACAAATGGGATCTAATTAAACTAAAGAGCTTCTGCACAGCAAAAGAAACTACCATCAGAGTGAACAGACAACCTACAAAATGGGAGAAAATTTTGCAATCTACTCATCTGACAAAGGGCTAATATCCAGCTTCTACAAAGAACTCAAACAAATTTACAAGAAAAAACCAAACAACCCCATCAAAAAGTGGGTGAAGGATATGAACAGATACGTCTCAAAAGAAGACAGTTATGCAGCCAAAAGACACCTGAAAAAATGTTCATCATCACTGGTCATCAGAGAAATGCAAATCAAAACCACAATGAGATACCATCTTATACCAGTTAGAATGGCGATCATTAAAAAGTCAGGAAACAACAGGTGCTGGAGAGAATGTGGAGAAATAGGAACACTTTTACACTGTTGGTGGGACTGTAAACTAGTTCAACCGTTGTGGAAGTCAGTGTGGCGATTCCTCAGGGATCTAGAACTAGAAATACCATTTGACCCAGCCATCCCATTACCGGGTATATACCCAAAGGATTATAAATCATGCCGCTATAAAGACACATGCACACGTATGTTTATTGCGGTACTATTCACAATAGCAAAGACTTGGAACCAACCCAAATGTCCAACAATGATAGACTGGCACATATACACCATGGAATACTACGCAACCATAAAAAAGGATGAGTTTGTGTCCTTTGTAGGGACATGGATGAAGCTGGAAACCATCATTCTCAGCAAACTATCGCAAAGACAAAAAACCAAACACCGCATGTTCTCACTCATAGGTGGGAGTTGAACAATGAGAACAGATGGACACAGGAGGGGGAACATCACACACTGGGGACTGTTGTGGGGTGGGGGGAGGCGGGAGGGATAGCATTAGGAGATATACCTAATGCTAAATGACGAGTTAATGGGTGCAGCACACCAACATGGCACATGTATACATATGTAACAAACCTGCATGTTGTGCACATGTACCCTAAAACTTAAAGTATAATTTAAAAAAAAGAAAAAAAAAGAAAAAAAAGAGAAAAGAAAGGAATATAATAAAATAAACCTCCAATATATCTGGCAGCAGATTTTTTCAGTGGAAACTTTACAGGCCAGGAGTGACATGACATATTTAAAGTGCTGAAGGAAAAATCTTTTATTCTAGAATAGGGTATCCCGTGAAAATATCCTTTAAACATGAAGAAGAAATAAAGACTTCCCCAGACAAACAAAAGCTGAGAGATTTCATCAACATCAGACCTGTCCTACAAGAAATGCTAAAGGGAGTTCTAAGAAAAGTAATATTAATAAGCAATAAGCAATCACCTGAAGGTTTAAAACTCACTGGTAATAGTAAGTACCCAGAAAAACACAGCATGTTATAACACTGTAATTGTGGTGTGTAAACTACTCATATCTTGAGTAGAAAGACTATAAGATAAACAGATAAAAAACTATAATTTTTCAAGACATGTATCATACAGTAGGATATAAATGGAAACCAAAGAAAGTTTAAAAGTGAGGGGACAAGGTTAAAGTGTAGAGTTTTTATTAGTTTCTTTTTGCTTGTTTGTTAGGTTCTTTGTTATGCAATCAGTGTTAAGTTCTCATCAGTTTAAAGTAATGGGTTACAAGATATTATTTGCAAGCCTCATGGTAACCTCAAATAAAAAAATACAACAGATATACAAAAAATAAACAGCAAGAAATTAAAACATACCACCAGAGACAATCATGTTCACTAAAAGTAAAACAGGAAGGAGATAAAGAAGAAAGTGAAAACCACAAAACAACCAGAAAACAAATAACAAAATGGCAGGAGTAAGTCCTTACTTATCAATAATAACATTGAATGTAAATGGACTAAACTCTCCAATCAAAAGACATAGAGTGGCTGAATGGATAAAAAACAAAACCCTCAAAGGATATGAACAGACACTTCTCAAAAGAAGACATTTATGCAGCCAACAGACACATGAAAAAATGCTCATCATCACTGGCCATCAGAGAAATGCAAGTCAAAACCACAATGAGATACCATCTCACGCCAGTTAGAATGGCAATCATTAAAAAGTCAGGAAACAACAGATGCTGGAGAGGATGTGGAGAAATAGGAATGCTTTTACATTGTTGGTGGGCGTGTAAATTAGTTCAACCATTGTGGAAGACAGTGTGGCAATCCTAGAACTAGAAATACCATTTGACCCAGCGATCCCATTACAGGGTATATACCCAAAGAATTATAAATCATGCCACTATAAAGACACATGCACACGCATGTTTATTGTGGCACTATTCACAATAGCAATGACTTGGAACCAACCCAAATGTCCATCAATGATAGACTGGATTAAGAAAATGTGGCACATATACATCACGGAATACTATGCGGCCTTAAAAAAGGATGAGTTCATGTCCTTTGCAGGGACATGGATGAAGCTGGAAACCATCATTCTGAGCAAACTATCACAAGAACAGAAAACCAAACACCGCGTGTTCTCACTCATAGGTGGGAATTGAACAATGAGAACACTTGGACATAGGGTGGGGAACATCACACACCAGGACCTGTCGTGGGGTTGGGGGAGCAGGGAGGGATAGCATTAGGAGAAATACCTAATGTAAATGATGAGTTAATGGGTGCAGCACACCAACACGGCACATGTATACGTATGTAACAAACCTGCATGTTGTGCATATGTACCCTAGAACTTAAAGTATAATAAAAAAAATTAAAAAAATACCCCAACTATCTGTTGCCTACAAGAAACACACTTCACCTATACAGACACACATAAACTAAAAATAAAGGAATTGAAAAAGATATTCCATGCCAAAAAAAAAAAAAAAAAAAAAAAAAAGCAGAAGTAGCTGTACTTATATCAGGCAAAAGTAGATTTTAAGACAAAAACTATAAGGAGACAAAGAATGTCATTACATAATGAGAAAGGGGTTAGTTCAGCAAAAGAACATAACAACTTTAAATATATGTGCATCCAACACTGGAGCACCCAGATATATGAAGCAAATATTTTTAGTGCTAAAGAGAGAGATAATCCCCAGTGCAATGATATCTGGAGACTTCAACACACCACTTTCAGCAATGTCAGATCTTCCAGACAGAAAATAAAGAAATATCTGACTTAGGCTGGGCGTGGTGGCTCATACCTGTAATCCCAGCACTTTGGGAGGCCAAAGTGAGTGGATCACCTGAGGTCAGGGGTTCGGGACCAGCCTGGCCAACATAGTGAAACCCCGTCTCTACTAAAAATACAAAAATTAGCTGGGCGTGGTGGCAGGTGCCTGTAATCTTAGCAACTTGAGAGGCTGAGGCAGTAGAATTGCTGGAACCTGGGAGGCGGAGGTTGCAGTGAGTTGAGATCACACCATTGCACTCCAGCCCAGGTGACAACAGTGAGACTCCATCTCACAAAAAAAAAAAAAAAAAAAAGAAGAAACATCTGACTTAATCTGCACTATAGACCAAATAGATCTAATAGATATTTACAGAGCATTTCATACAATTGCTGCAGAATACACATTCTCCTCAACACATGGATTGTTCTCAACGATAAATCATATCTTAGACCGCAAAACAAGTCTTAAAACGTTTGAAAAAACTGAAATTATATCAAGTATCTTCTCTGACCACAATGAAATAAGACTAGATGTCAGTAACAAGAGACATTTTGGAAACTATACATACACATGGAAATTACACAATATGCTCCTGAATGAACAGTATGTCAATGAAGAAATTAAGAAGGAAAAGTCAAAATTTCTTGAAACAAATGATAATGGAAACACAACATACCAAAACTGCTGGGATACAGTGAAAGCAATACTAAGAGGAAAGTTTATAGCTATAAGCACCTACATCAAAAACTAGAAAAACCTCAAATAAACCACCCACTGATGCATTTTAAGGAACTAGAATAGCAAGCTCAAACCAAACCTAAGAATAGTAGAAGAAATGTAATAAAGATCAGAGCAGAAATAAATGAAATTGAAATAAAGAAAATAATACAAAAGATCAAAGAAATAAAATATTTCTTTGAAAAGATAAGCAAATTTGACAAACCTTTAGCCAGGCTAACTGAGAAAAAGAGAGAAGATCCAGATAAATAAAATCAGAGCTATAAAAGGAAACATTACAACTGGTAATGCAGAAATGCAAAGGATTATTACTGGCTACTGTGAGCAACTATATGCCAGTAAGTTGGAAAAATCTAGAAGAAATGGACAAATTTCTAGACACATACAACCTACTAAGATTTGACCATGAAGAAATAAAAAACCTGAACAGACCAATAACAAGTTATGAGATGAAAGCCATAATAAAATGTCTCCAAGCAAAGAAAAGCCTGAGACTCAATGGCTTCACTGCTGAATTTTGCCTAACATTTAAAGAACTAACACTAATGCTACTCAAAGAATTCCAAAAAATAGAGGAGGAAGGAATACTCCCAAACTCATTTTGCAAGGCTGGTATTACTTTAATATCAAAAGCAGACAAAGAAGCATCAAGAAAGAAAACTACAGGGCAATATCTCTGATGAATATTGATGCAAAAATCCTCAGCAAAATACTAGTAAACCAAATTCAACATATGTTAAAGAGATCATTGAACATGACCAAGTGGAATTTATCTCTGGGACACAAGGATTGTTCAGCATATGCAAATCAATCAATGTAACACGTCATATTAACAGAATGAAGGACAACCACCATATGATCATTTCAATTGATGCTGAAAACGTGTTAGATAAAATTCAACATTATCTTCATAATAAAACCCTGGAAAAATTGGGTATAGAAGGAACATACTTTAACATAATAAAAACCATATATGACAGACCCACAGGTTGCATGTCCCCACCCTGCCCAGTCTACTAGCTCTGGGCCCAGTTCAGTTGTAGGACTCATGTAAATGTTGCAGTTCTCGTGGTCTAGACTGCCTTTCAAATTTATTTAGAGCCCCTGAGCACTTTAGCCCAAGGTGGTGGGGTTTGTGGGAACTCAAGTTTGGGCCACTAGAATCTGCAATCCCTCGCTGGCTAGGGCTGGTTTAAATGCTCCCTCCATGGATGGACATCAGCTGAGTTTGGTCTGGTTTTCCTTTCTGCTATAACAGGACAGCACTGAATTCAATCTTTCACAATTGCTGTGCTCTCCCTCCCCCAGCACACAGAAATAATCTCTGTACAATGCCACTGCTGCCAGGGGGTGAGGGAGGGGTGGCATCCACGATTCAAGACTGCCTTTTCTACTACTGCAGTGCCTCTTTCAGCAATATGAAGGTAAAACCAACACTGTGAGTGCTCACCTGATTTTTGGTTCTTATAAAGGTTTTTTTTTTTTTTTTTTTTTTTTTGGTGTGTGTGTAGATGTTTGTTAAATTAGTGTCCTTGTAAGGGTGTGATCAGTAGAGTCTTCTATTCTGCCATCCTGCTCTGCCTTCCTGTCTTCAATTTTGAAAGTTATTTTAGCTGTGTCTAGAACTGGGGATTGACTTTTTTCATTTCAGCACTTTAAAGAGGTTTCTCCAGTGTTGATAGCTTGCATACTTTTTACGTTTGCTGCGATTCTTGTTTTCATTCCTCTATTTACAATATTTCTGTTCTATTTCTCTCTGCCTGTGAGATTCTCTTTTTATCTTCAGATTTCAGTAATTTGACTATAATGGGTCTAGGGGTGTGTGTGTGTGTGTGTGTGTGTGTGTGTGTGTGTGTGTGTGGTGTTATTTGTCTTGCTTGGAGTTCTCAGGCTTATTGTATTAATAATCTGTTTTCCTTCATTATTTTTGGAATATTCTTGGCCATTGTCTTTTTTAAAAATTCTATTTTGATTATGATAAAACATATAACATTACATTTCTCATCTTTACTATTCTAAAATGTACAGTTCAGTAGTGTTAAGTATATTCACGTTATTGTGCAGTGTATCTCTAGAACACTTTCATCTTGCAACACTGAGACTCTATGCCTACTAAACACTAACCCTCTCTCTACCTTCCCCTCAGTCCTTGGTAACCATGCTTTTACTTTCTGTTTCTATGATTTTTACTACTTTAAATACTTCATATAAATGAAATCATACATATTTGTCCTTTTGTGACTGGCTTATTTTGCTTAGCCATAGTGTCCTCAAGTTCATTTATATTGTAGCATGTAACAGGATTTCCTTCTTTTTTAAGGCTGAATAATATTCCATTGTATGTATGTGTCACATTTTACTTGCCCACATATCTGTTGATGGGCACTTGTGTTATTTCCAAACTTTAGTTACTATGAAGAATGCTGTTATGAACATAGGTGTATAAATATCTCTTTGATATCCTACTTTCAATTCTTTTGGGTATATACATAGAAGTAGAATTGCTGAATCATAGATAATTCTATTTCTAATTTTTTGAGAAGCCACCATACTGTTTTCCATAGTGGCTGCACCATTTTACATTCCCACCAACAATGCACAGAAGTTCCAATTTCTCCACATCCTTGCAAACACCCTTTATTTATTTCTTTTTATAGTAGGCACGCTAATGGGTGCGAAAAGTTTAATTTGAATTTCCCCGGTGATAAGCAATGTATAGCATCTTTTCATGTGCTTATTGGTCATTTTTGTACCTTCTTTGGAGGAATGTCTATTCAAATTCTTTGTCCATTTTAAGTTGGGCTGTTTTATCGTTGAGTTTTAGGAGTTCTCTAGATATTCAAATTATTAGTCGCTTATCAGATATATGATTTGCAAATATTTTCTTTTTCTCTTTTGAGACGGAGTTTCGCTCTTGTTTCCCTGGCTGGAGTGCAATGGCATGATCTTGGCTCACCGCAACCTCTGCCTCCCAAGTTCAAGTGATTCTACTGCCTCAGCCTCCCAAGTAGCTGGGATTACAGGCATGTGCCACCATGCCTGGCTAATTTTTTATTTTTAGCAGAGATGGGGTTTCTCCATGTTGGTCAGTCTGGTCTCAAACTCCTGACCTCAGGTGATCCGTGTGCTTCAGCCTCCCAAAATGCTGGGATTACAGGTGTGAGCCACCATTCCCGGCCCGATTTGCAAATCTTTTCTCCCACTCTGTGGGCTGCCTTTTTACTCTGTTGATAGTCTGATGCATAAAGTTTTAAAATTGTCATGAAGTCTACTTTGCTTATTTTTTCTTTTGTTGCTTGTGCCATTGGTGTTGTATCTAAGAAATCTTTGCCAAATCCAAAGATGTGAAGATTTTGCTCTGTTTTCTGCTGAGAATTTCATCGTTTTGGTCTTACATTTTAAACTATGATCCATTTGAGTTAAATTTTGTATATGGTGGTAGGTAAGGGTTGAATTTTATTCTTTTGCATGTGGATGTCCAGTTTCCCCAGCACTATTTGTTGAAAAGACTGTCCTTTTCCCATTGAATGGTCTTGGTATTTTTGTCAAACATCCTTTGACCATATATGTGAGGGTTTACTTCTCTCTACTCTATTCCCTTGGCCTATATGTCTGTTGTTATACCAGTACCAGATGGTTTTGATTACTTAGCACTGCAAATTTAAAAAATCAGGAACTATGATGCCTCCGGGTTTGTTTTGCATTTTCAAGATTGTTTTGGCTACTTGGAGTCACCTGCGATTCCATACAAATTTTAGAATGGGCTTTTCTATTTCTGCAAAAATTGTCATTGGAATTTTAATTTGGATTGCATTGAATTTTAGAACACTTTGGGTAGTATTGACATCTTACCAACATTGTCTTCCAGTCCATGAAAATGGGATATGTTTCCTTTTATTTATGTCTTCATTAGCTTCTTTCCACTTTATTTTGTAGTTTTTATTTTAACTTCACCTCCTTGGGTAAGCTAATTCCTAAGTATTTTATCCTCTTTGATGTTAATGGAGATGGGATTGCCAATTGCAATCTTTTTTTTTATTTTTATTTTTTGAGACAGAGTCTTGCTTTGTCACACAGGCTAGAGTGCAGTGGCATAATCTCGGCTGACTGCAACCTCTGCCTCTGGGGTTCAAGCGATTCTCATGCCTCAGCCTCCCGAGTACCTGGGACTACAGGCACATACCACTATACTTGGCTAATTTTTGTATTTTTAGTAGACATGGGGTTTTGCCATGTTGGGCAGGCTGATCTTGAACTCCTGACCTCAAGCGATCTGCCCACCTTGGCCTCCCAAAATACTGGGGTTACAGATGTGAGCCACTGCACCTGACCCACTGACTGCAATCTTAAATAAAATGTTCTATTCACATTGTTCATTGTTAGTATATAGAAATGCAACTGATTTTTACGTTGACTTTGTATCCTGCTACTTTGCTGATTTGTTTATTGGTTCTAACAGTTTGTGTGTGTGTGTGTGTGTGTGTGTGTGTGTGTGTGAAATATTTAAGGTTTTCCATGTATAAAATTATATTATCTGTGAACAGACATAAATTTTACTTCTTTCTTTCCAGTCTGAAAGGCTTCCAAATATTTCTCTTTCTTGCCTAATTGCTCTGACTAGAACTTCCAGTACTATGTTGAATAGATATGATGAAAGTGGGCATCCTTGCCTTGTTCCTGATTTTAGAGGAAGAGCATTCAGCCTTTCACCATCGAGTATGAGGTTCACTGTGAATTTTTCGTATATGGCTTTTATTATGTTTAAGTAGTTTCTTTCTATTCGTTGTTGTTGAGACGGTGTCTCACTCTGTCACATGGGCTGAGGTAGAGTGGCACAATCATAGCTATCCACAGCCTCAAACTTCCAGGCTCAAGTGGTCTTCCCACCTCAGCCTCCTGAGGAGGTGCTACAGTTGTGTGCCACTGTCTGGCTAATTTAAAACGTTCTTTAGTAGAGACAAGGTCTCATTGTGTTGCCTAGGCATTACCTTCTATTCTTAGTTTGTTGAATGTTGTTTTTATAAAAGGATGTTGAATTTCGTCAAATGCTTTTTCTGCATCAACTGAGATAATTGTGTTTGTTTTTCCTTCATTTTGTTGTTGTTGTGTATTATACTGATCCATTTTTTTTTAGTGTTGAACCATCGCATTCCAGGAATAAATCCCACCTGGTTATCATGTCTAGTCCTTTTAATATGCTGCTGAATTCAGCTTGCTAGTAGTTTTTGAGGATTTTTTTGCATCCATATTTGTAAATATATTAGCCTGTAGTTTTATTTTCTTGTATTATCATTGTTGGGCTTTGTTTAGCTTATCAGGGTAATGCCAACCTCAAAGAATGAGTTAGAAAGTGTTCCCTCAACTTCAATTTTTTTGAAACGTTTGAGAAGGACTAGTATTAGTTCTTTTTCAAATGTTTGGTAGAATTCACCAGTCAGGTCTTCAGGTCCTGGGATTTCCTTTATTGGAATATTTTGATTACTGATTCAATGACCTCTCTAATTACAAGTCTATTCAGATTTTCTGTTTATTTGTAATTTAGTCTTGGTATGTTTTGTGTTTTTAAGAATTTGTTCATTTCATTTAAGTTATTGAATTTGTTGGCATACACTTATTTATAGTATTATCTTGTAATACTTTCTATTTTTGTAGATTTGGTAATAATGTCTCTTCTTTCATTTATGATTTTAGTAATGTGACTCTTCTTTCTTTCTCTGGTCCATCTAGCTTAAGGTTTGTCATTTTTGTTGATCTTTTCAAAGAACCAACTTTTGGTTTTATTGATTTTTCTCTATTTTTTTCTATTCTCTATTTAATTTATCTTTTCTGTAATCTTTGTTATTTCCTTCTCTCTGCTAGCTTTGGATTTAGTTTGTTCTTCTTTTTCTGGTTCTTTAAGTTGTGAAGTTAGGTTGTTGATTTGAGGTCTTTTTAGACATGTAATCATTTAGAACTATAAATGTCTCCCTTATCACTGCTTTCTCTGAATCTTGTAAGTTTTGGCATGTTGTATCTTTGTTTTCATTAATATATAAGTGTTTTCTAATTTGCGTTTTGATTTCTTCCTTCATCTATTTGTTGTTTAAGACTGTATTGTTTAATTTCCTCACACTTGTAAAATTTCCGGTTTTACTTGTGTTACTGATTTCTAATTTCATCCCATTGTGATTAGAGGAGTTTTTTTATATTATCTATCTTTTTGAATCTATTAAGAGTCAATTTGTGGCCTAACCTGGAAAATGTCCCATGTGCACTTGAGAAGAAAATTTATGCTATTGTTGTTTGGAAGAATGTTTTGTATATGTCTGTTAGATGTAGTTGGTTTATTGTGTTATGTCCTCTGTTTACTTGCTTATATTCCATCTGGTTGTTCTATCCATTATTATGAGTAGAATATTAAAGTCTCCAATTATTATCATAGAACTATTTCTCTCTTCAATTCTATCAGTTTTTGTTTCAGATATTTGGATGGTTTGTCAGTAGATGCATAATTATTACATCTTCTTGCTGTATCAAAACTTTTATTAATATATAATATCCTTCTTTGCCTCTTGTAATCTTTTTTGATTTAAAGTCTATTTTGTGAAGTGGGTAGGGGTGCATTCCAAGATGGCCAAATAGGAACAGCTCTGGTCTGCAGCTCCCAGTGTGATGGATGCAGAAGACGGGTGATTTCTGCATTTCCAACTGAGGTGCCTGGTTCGTCTCATTGGGACTGGTTGGACAGTGGCTGCAGCCCACAGAGGGTGAGCTGAAGCAGGGCGGGGTGTTGCCTCACCCAGAAAGCACAAAGGGTCAGTGGATTTCCCTTTCCTAGCCAAGGGAAGCCGTGACAGACTACCTGGAAAAACGGGACACTCCCGCCCAAATCCTGTGCTTTTCCCAAGGTCTTAGCAACGGCAGACCAGGAGATACCCACCCCGTGCCTGGCTCGGTGGGTCCCATGCCCACAGAGCCTTGCTCACTGCTGGTGCAGCAGTCTGAGATTGATCTGCAAGATGGCAGCCTGGCTGGCGGTGGGGTGTCCACCATTGCAGAGGCTTGAGTAGGTAAACAAAGTGGCCGGGAAGCTCAAACATGGAACCCACCACAGCTCAACAAGGCCTACTGCCTCTAGACTCCACCTCTGTGGGCAGGGCATAGCTGAACAAAAGGCAGCAGACAACTTCTACAGACTTAGATGTCCCTGTCTGACAGCTCTGAAAAGAGCAGTGGTTCTCCCACCATGGTGTTTGAGCTCTGAGAATGGACAGACTGCCTCCTCAAGTGGGTCCCTGACCCTCTTGTATCCTAACTGGGAGACTTCTCCCAGTAAGGGCCGACAGAAACCTGATATAGGTGGCTGCCCCTCTGAGACGAAGCTTCCAGAGGAAGGATCAGGCAGCAATATTTGCTGTTCTGCAATATGTGCTGTTCTGCAGCCTCTGCTGGTGATACCCAGGCAAACAGGGTCTGGAGTGGACCTCCAGCAAACTCCAACAGACCTGCAGCTGAGGGACCTGATTATTAGAAGGAAAACTAACAAACAGAAAGGAATAGAATCAACATAAACAAAAAGGTTGTCTACACCAAAACCCCATCTGTAGGTCACCAACATCAAAGACCAAAGGTAGATAAAACCAAAAAGATGGGGAGGAACCAGAGCAGAAAATCTGAAAATTCTAAAAATCAGAGCACCTCTTCTCCTCCAAAGGATCACAGCTCCTCGCCAGCAATGGAACAAAGCTGTATGGAGAATGACTTTGAAAAGTTGACAGAAGTAGGCTTCAGAAGGTTGATAATAACAAACTTCTCCGAGCTAAAGGAGGATGTTTGAACCCATTGCAAGGAAGCTAAAAACCTTGAGAAAAGATTAGATGAATGGCTAACGAGAATAAACAGTGTAGAGAAGACCTTAAATGACCTGATGGAGCTGAAAACCATGACACGAGAACTTTGTGACACATGCAAAAGCTTCAATAGCCAATTCGATCAAGTGGAAGAAAGGGTATCAGTGATTGAAGACCAAATAAATGAAATAAAGTGAGAAGACAAGGTTAGAGAAAAGAGAGTAAAAAGAAATGAACAAAACCTCCAAGAAATATGGGACTATGTGAAAAGACCAAATATACATTTGATTGGTGTACCTGAAAGTGATGGGGAGAATGGAACCAAGCTGGAAAACACGCAGCAGGATATTATCTGGGAGAACTTCCCCAATCTAGCAAGGCAGGCCAACATTCAAATTCAGGAAATACAGAGAACACCACAAAAATACTCCTCAAGAAGAGCAACCCCAAGACACATAATTTTCAGATTCACCAAGGTTGAAATGAAGGAAAAAGTGTTAAGGGAAGCCAGAGAGAAAGGTCGGGTTACCCACAAAGGGAAGCCCATCAGACTAACAGCAGATCTCTCAGCAGAAACTCTACAGGCCAGAAGAGAGTGGGGGCCAATATTCAACATTCTTAAAGAAAAGAATTTTCAACCCAGAATTTCATATCCAGCCAAACTAAGCTTCATAAGGGAAGGAGAAATAAAATCCTTTACAGACAAGCAAATGCTGACAGATTTTGACACCACCAGGCCTGCCTTACAAGAGCTCCTGAAGGAAGCACTAAACATGGAAAGGAACAACCAGTACCAGCCACAGCAAAAAGAGGCCAAATTGTAAAGACCATTGATACTATGAAGAAACTGCATCAATTTACGGGCAATAACCAGTGAACATCACAATGACAGGATCAAATTCCCACATAATGATATTAACCTAAAATGCAAATGGGCTAAATGGCCCAATTAAAAGACACAGACTGGTAAATTGGATAAAAAGTCAAGACCCATCAGTGTGCTATATTCAGGAGACTCATCTCACGTGCAAAGACACACATAGGCTCAAAATAAAGGGATGGAGGAAGATCTACCAAGAAAATGGCAAGCAAAAAAAAAAAAAAAAAAAAAAGCAGGGGTTGTAATCCTAGTCTTCCTAGTCTCTGATAAAACAGACTTTAAACCAACAAAGAGCAAAAGAGACAGAGAAGGCCATTACATAATGGTAAAGGGATGAATTCAACAAGAAGAGTTAACTATCCTAAATATATATGCACCCAATACAGGAGCACCCAGATTCATAAAGCAAATCCTTAGAGACCTACAAAGAGACTTAGCCTCCCACACAGTAATAATGGGAGACTTTAACATCCCAATGTCAATATTAGACAGATCAACGAGACAGGACCTCAACTCAGCTCTGCAACAAGCAGACCTAATAGACATCTACAGAACTCTCCACCCCAAATCAACAGAATATACATTCTTCTCAGCACCACATCGCACTTATTCTAAAATTGACCACATAATTGGAAATAAAGCACTCCTCAGCAAATGTAAAAGAATAGAAATCACAACAAACTGTCTCTCAGACCACAGTGCAATGAAATTAGAACTCAGGATTAAGAAGCTCACTCAAAACTGCACAACTACATGGAAAATGAACAACGTGCTCATGAATAGCTACTGGGTAAATAATGAAATGAAGGCTGAAATAAAGATATTTTTTGAAACCAATGAGAACAAAGACACAACGTATCAGAATCTCTGGGACACATTTAAAGCAGTGTGTAGAGGGAAATTTAGAGCACTTAATGCCCACAAGAGAAAGCAGGAAAGATCTAAAATCGACACCCTAACATCACAATTAAAAGAACTGGAGAAGCAAGAGCCAATAAATTCAAAAGCCAACAGAAGGCAAGAAATAACTAAGATCAAAGCAGAACTGAAGGAGATAGAGACAAAAAAACCCTTCAAAAAATCAGTGAATCCAGGAGCTGGTTTTTTGAAAAGATCAACAAAACTGATAGGCTGCTAGCAAGACTAATAAAGAAGAAAAGAGAGAAGAATCAAATAGATGTAATAAAAAATGATAAAAGGGATATTACCACCTATCCCACAGGAATACAAACTATCATCAGAGAATACTATGAACACCTCTATGCAAATAAACTAGAAAATCTAGAAGAAATGGATAAATTCCTGGACACATACACCCTCCCAAGACTAAACCAATCAATAGGAAAAGAGGGAATCCTCCCTAACTCATTTTATGAGGCCAGCATCATCCTGATACCAAAGCCTGGCAGAGACACAACAAGAAAAGATAATTTTAGACCAATATCTCTGATGAACACTGATGTGAAAATCCTCAATAAAATACTGGCAAACCGAATCCAGCAGCACATCAAAAAGCTTATCCACCATGATCAAGTGGGCTTCATCCCTGGGATGCAAGGCTGGTTCAACATACACAAATCAATAAACGTAATCCATCACATAAACAGAACCAATCACAAAAACCACATGATTATCTCAATAGATGCAGAAAAGGCCTTCAACAAAATTCAACAGCCCTACATGCTAAAGACTCTCAATAAACTAGGTATTGATGGAATGTATCTCAAAATAATAAGAGCTATTTATGACAAACACACAGCCAATATTATAGTGAATGGGGAAAAACTGGAAGCATTCCCTTTGAAAACTGGCACAAGACAAGGATGCCCTCTCTCACCACTCCTATTCAACATAGTGTTGGAAGTTCTGGCCAGGGCCATCAGGCAAGAGAAAGAAATAAAGTGTATTCGATTAGGAAAAGTGGAAGTCAAATTGTCCCTGTTTGCAGATGTCATGATTGTAGATTTAGAAAATCCCATCATCTCAGCCCCAAATCTCCTTAAGCTGATAAGCAATTTCAGCAAAGTCTCAGGATACAAAATCAATGTGCAAAAACCACAAGCATTCCTATACACCGTTAACAGACAGACAGCCAAATCATGAGTGAACTCCCATTCGCAATTGCTTCAAAGAGAATAAAATATCTAGGAATCCAACTTACAAGGGATGTGAAGGACCTCTTCGAGGAGAACTACAAACCACTGCTCAACGAAATAAAAGAGGACACAAACATGGAAGAACATTCCATGCTCATGAATAGAAAGAATCAATATCGTGAAAATGGCCATACTGCCCAAAGTAATTTATAGATTCAATGCCATCCCTATCAAGCTACCAATGACTTTCTTCACATAATTGGAAAAAACTACTTTAAAGTTCATATGGAACCAAAAAGTGCCTGAACTGCCAAGACAATCCTAAGCAAAAAGAACAAAGCTGGAGGCATCACACTACCTGACTTCAAACTGTATTACAAGGCTACAGTAGCCAAAACAGCATGGTACTGGTACCAAAACAGAGAGATAGACCAATGGAACAGAACAGAGGCCTCAGAAATAACACCACACATTTACAACCATCTGGTCTTTGACAAACCTGACAAAAACAAGCAATGGGGAAAGGACTCCCTATTTAATAAATGACGTTGGGAAAACCGGCTACTCATTTGTAGAAAGCTGAAACTGGATCCCTTCTTTACACCTTATACAAAAATTAATTCAAGATGGATTAAAGACTTAAACGTTAGACCTAAAACCATAAAAACCCTAGAAGAAAACCTAGGCAATACCATTCAGGACATAGGCATGGACTAGGACTTCATGACTAAAACACAAAAAGCAATGGCAACAAAAGCCAAAATTGAAAAATGGGATCTAATTAAACTAAAGAGCTTCTGCAAGGCAAAAGAAACTACCATCAGAGTGAACAGGCAACCCACAGAATGGAAGAAAAGTTTTGCAATCTACTCATCTGACAAAGGGGTGATATCCAAAATCTACAAAGAACTCAAACAAATTTACAAGAAAAAAAAACCAAACAACCCCATCAAAAAGTGGGTGAAGGATATGAACAGACACTTCTCAAAAGAAGACACCTATGCCACCAACAGACACATGAAAAAATGCTCATCATCACTGGTCATCAGAGAAATGCAAATCAAAACCACAATGAGATACCATCTCACGCCAGTTAGAATGGCGATCATTAAAAAGTCAGGAAACAACAGATGCTGGAGAGGATGTGGAGAAATAGGAATGCTTTTACACTGTTGGTGAGAGTGTAAATTAGTTCAACCATTGTGGAAGACTGTGTGGTGATTCCTCAAGGATCCAGAACTAGAATTACCATTTGACCCAGCAATCCCATTACTGGGTATATACCCAAAGGATTATAAATCATGCTACTATAAAGACACATGCACATGTATGTTTATTGTGGCACTATTCACAATAGCAAAGACTTGGAACCAACCCAAATGTCTGTCAATGATAGACTGGATTAAGAAAATGTGGCATATATACACCATGGAATAATATGCAGCCATAAAAAAGGATGAGTTCATGTCCTTTGCAGGGACATGATGAAGCTGGAAACCGTCATTCTCAGGAAACTATCACAAGGACAGAAAACCAAAAAACTGCATGTTCTCACTCATAGGTGGGAATTGAACAAGGAGATCACTTGGACACAGGGTGGGGAACATCACACACCAGGGCGTGTTGTGGGGTGGGTTTTGGGGGAAGGGATAGCATTAGGAGAAATACCTAATATAAATGATGAGTTGATGGGTGCAGCAAACAAACATGTCACAGGTATACATATATATCAAACCTGCACGTAGTGCACATGTACCCTAGGACTTAAAGTATAATAATAATAATAAAAAAGCCTATTTGTGTATCAGTATAGCCACCACTGCTCTCTTTTAATTACTATTTGCATAGAATATCTATTTTCATTCTTTCACTTTCAATCTATTTGTCTTTGGAGCTAAACTGAGTCTTGTAGATAGCATATAGTTGAGTCATGTGTTTTTATCCATTCTGCCAATCTCTGCCTTTTGATTAGAGAGTTTAAGCTATTTAACTCTCTAAACCTAAAGTGACAACTGAAAAGGGGAGGCTTTTTTGCTATTCATTATCTAGCTTCTAAAAATTCCTGTTTCTGCATTACAGTTTTCTTTTGTGTTTAGTTGACTTTTTTTGGTAGTGAAATGTTTAAATTCCTTTCTCATTTTTTTGTGTGTATTCTATAGCTATTTTATTTGTGATTATCATGGAGATTACATTTATACCCTAAAGTTATAACACTAATTGGAATTTATATTAACTTAACTTCCATAACATACAAAAACTGCTCTTTTATAGCACTACCCCCACCCCTTTTAGTTGTTGATGTTACAGAATTATATCTTTATACATTGTGTGCCCCAAAACATAAACTAATAATTAATTTAAATGCATTATTTTATTAAATTATGTGCCCCAAAACATAAACTAATAATTAATTTAAATGCATTATTTTATTAAATTACGTAGAAAACAAAATATTTTACAGACCATTGCTACAATAATATTAGCTTTTATAATTGCCCAAGTATTTATCTTTATTCAATCTTTATTTTTTTATATAGCTTTGGTTACTTTTAGTTACTGTATAGTAACCTTTTTCAGGGAATGTCTAGGGTAATAAACTCCTTCAGCTTTTCCTTATATGGGAATGTATTAATCTCTCCCTCACTTTTGAAGGATAGTTTTGCCAGGTGTAGGATTCCTTGTTGACAGTAAATTTCTTTTAGTATTTTGAATATATTGGCTCACTGTCTTCTGGCTTCCAAAGTTTCTAATGAGAAATTTTCTGCTTATTTTATTGAGGATCCCTGGTATGTGATGAGTTACTTCTCTTTTGTTCTTTTCAGCATTTATTTTCTCTTTCTCTTTGCCTTTAAAAAGCTTGATTACAATGTGTATTGGTATTTGTTTTTTTTTTTGGTTCATTTTACTTGGAGTTTATTGATCTTCTGGGATGTTCATATTCATGACTTTCATCAAACTTGGGACATTTTCAGCTATTATTCCTTCAAATAATCTTGCTGCCCCATTTTTTTCTCCTTCTGAAACTCCCACAGTCTGTATGTTTTTCTGCTTGCTGGCATCTCACAGGTCCCTTAAGCTCCATTCAGTTTTCACCCATAGTTTTTTCTTTCTGTTTCTCAGACTTGATAACTTCCTTTGTCCAACCTTCAAGTTCATGGATTCTTTCTTCTGCTCATTCAAATCTGCCTTTGAATCTCTATGGTAAATTTTTAATTTTAGTTATTGTACTTTTCAATTCCAGATATTTTTGGTTTCTTTTTAGCTTTTCTATTTCTTCGTGGTTATTTCCATTTTGTTCATTTATTATTTTCTTGACTTTCTCCGTATCTTCCTTTAGTTCTCTGAGTATCTTTAAGATAGTTGTTTAGTTATTTTAAAGTCTTTGTCTAGGAGATCTTTCATTAGGTCTTTAAAAGATACTTTATATTGACTTGTTATTTTCCTTTAAATGGGCCATACTTTTCTGCTTCTATGTATGTATTATGATTTTTTTGTTGAAAGCTAGACTTTTGAATCAATAAGTTGACTTTCTCTGCCTTGTATCTCTGGTTGGCCCTAGGTTGAAGATAATTTCCTGACAATCAGCTCTCGTACACCTGCATCACTAAGGAGGGATGTCTCCAGTTTTCTATTCTGCCACCAAGCTTTCTTATCAGCACCCGGTAGAGGTCTATGAAAAAATCTTATTAATAAATGCAACCTCTCTCCCTCCCACCCTGGTCTGGACCTCCTAGCTATGCCACACTGTCATGCTAATCCATACTTACTTGGCCTTTATGAATTAAGATTTTAGCTAAATTCTTTTTTTTTTTTTTTTTTTGAGATAATGGCTCTTTCACCCAGGCTGGAGTGCGTTGGCATGATCTTGGTTCACAGCAACCTCTGCCTCCTACTCTCAAGCCATCCTCTCACCTCAGCCTCCTGAGTAGCTGGGACTACAGGACACACCACCACACTCAGCTAATTTTTTGTATTTTTTGCAGAGATGGGGTTTTGCCATGTTGCCCAGGCTGGTCTTGAAGTCCTGAGCTTAAGCAATCCACCTGCTTGGGTCTCCCAAAGTGTTAGGATTACAGGAGTGAGCCACCTTGCCAGGCCTTTGCTGAATTCTTACCGATTTATGTGGCAGTTCTCTCCTATGCTCTGCCAAAGGTAAAATCGTTCATGTGTTCTGTTTCTCTTTGTTGGGGTTTGTTCTTCTTTGGAATTCAGTTTGCTTTAATTGCAACCTCTGATCTCTTGTTGGGATAAACAAAAGTTATGTTTTTGTAGATTATCAATTTTTTCCACACTGTTAGTGTAGAAGTGACCTTATCTTGTGTTTCTGTAGTCTAAGCAATAGTGAAACTCTCCAGCATTTACTTCTTTTTTTTTTTCTGAGGTAGAGTCTCGCTCTGTCACCCAGGCTGGAGTGCAGTGGCATGATCTCAGCTCACTGCAACCTCTGCCTCCCAGGTTCAAGTGATTCTCCTGTCTCAACCTCCCAAGTACCTGAGATTACAGGTGCCCGCCACCATGCCCGCCTATTTTTTTTCTATTTTTAGTAGAGATGGGGTTTCACCATGTTGGCCAGGCTAGTCTCGAACTCCTGACCTCAGTTGATCAACCTGCTTCGGCCTCCCAAAGTGCTGGGATTACAGGCGTGAGCCACCATGCCCGGCCTCCAGCATTTACTTCTAATGCTTCACTCATTCAGGAAATATGATTGAATTTATATTGCTAAGGCAGCAACTGGGGTTAAATGGTGAATAAGAAGTGAATATGATTTGGAGAAAAAATTGACAGGAATTAATGTTAATTTAGGTGAAAGGATGAAGACAGACGAGAGACCAAGAAAGGTGAGAGATGAGAAAGTGGGACGGGGGGCGGGGTGGCTCCCAGGGAGGTCAGTGAACAGTAAGAAAGCTGTAGGCCAACTGATTGGTCTGCATGTGGCAGAAGAGTTGTAAAGAGGAGAGCTGTAACAAAATGAGCTGGGAATGACTGGCTGTAGGCCAAGGGAGTAGTATTTGTATTAAGATTTTTTGAAGTGCACAGTTTCTGTTAATGACAATGTCTGGTGTACAGCCATTAGAGTGGGTGGCTGTAGTATTGAGGAAAAAAAGATCACTAGGATGAGGAAGATAAGAAAGTTAGAGGCCAGAATATTTATGGTTTACCCAAGTGGGTGTTGAAATCACCACTGATGATATCAGAAAGAGGATAAGGGAAGAAGACTGTAAGCCATGAGTTAACATTTTTTTCTGAACAAAAGAGTTGAATGGAAGGTTGATAGGGGCAGAGCTGAATGCTTTGGGTGTCAAAGAACAAGAAGTTTGCAAGGGCAGGGAAGGAATGGCCTAGCAGTGACATTTAGGAACAATAATACTTCTTTTTTTTTCTGTTAGTGAGGTATGTAGAGCTTTGGAGAAAATAACTGCACTCTTGGGAGGGCTACAGGAGAGGCAGTGTTCTCAGAAGCAGTTGTCAGCTTTCAGTTAGGGCAAAGAGGTAAAAGGAGACATTTTGAAAATGATTTGGCATTCAGGGCAACCTGTTTTTGTTGTTGTTGTTATAGATGAGCATATTGTTCTTATGAAAAGTGGGCATTCATAACATTTTAAGTGTTACAGGCATGTTCCTTCCATGGATTAAAATAGTAACCAGAACTCTCTATTTGTATCTCTGATGTCTTGGTAGTCTGGCTTAGGGGAGTCAGGTGGGAGACAGAGAGCCAGTCCTGGACACAGTTCCCTGTTTCTCCTGAAGCAACGACATTTTGTGCAGGTGCCATTGTGAGCGTTTCTGTACTAAGCCTTGGGCTCATGGCCACCTGATGGCAAGACAAGCCTCCAACAGCATGGCGGTGACATGGGCTCCAGGTTTTATTGCGGCTGCAACAACCAGGTTGCTAATTAGGCCCAATTGTTAGAGTAGTTTTTGTGCTTCGGACACCTGTCCACTAGGAACTGGACTGAGACCACCAACTCATTTCCCACAGGTCACGGAACAGCTGTCAGATGGTATAATTTGGTCGAGTTCATTTGGAGCTGTTTGCAGAAGCTCTCTGAAGCATTATGCTCTACATAATGTGCATGATTAATGCTTGTTTATTTGGATAATCCTGTGTTGTAACTAAAGTGGTGGCCTATCTTATGCCAGTTATAATATACCATTCCATTCATGAGACGGAGTTCCATTGAGGGTATGAAGTAGAGCAATAATGTTCAATCTATTTACTGGGGAAGCAACTCATTGCAGCCATTCTGCAAGCTGCTTGCTCCATTCGAGTGATGATTCTGTGCTTAACTGTTCTGAGGAAGGGATCTGGGCTCATTTCCATTCTGAAGGGTAGGTGGGGGAAATGAATTTGAAAACAGTCGTCATTTTGACAGCAGGGATGTTTTACTCCAACTGCCTCTTCTAGGAGGAAGAATGCGGCATGTTATCTGTCCCTAGAGAAAAGCCTTGCTGACTTGTCAATCTTCAATCTTATTGCTAGCCAAGTGCATTTTGTTTGCAGTGTTGGAAACCTTGCCTTGTATGTCCCAGATGCTGTCCTACCACCTCTCCTTTTCTGTCACAAACACACAAAGGCTATTTTTTGCAAACAAGAAAGAGCTCTGAACTAGAAATTCTGATTCAAGTTTTGCCTCTGTCTCTAATTGAGTATGACCTTGGACAGATCACCTAGGTTCTTTATTGTGTGTTTTGCAAAATGGTGGAGCTGCTTAGGTCCTCTCTTGGGTCCCTTCAGCTGCATTACCCCATGGTTCTGTGACTATATTTAGTTAGTATTAAATATACATGGCAGCAACTTCCTGAAAGTTGTTGCTTATTTATTGTCATGTCCCCAGGTGCTTGCTGATTTAGAGGGAGACAAGTGTATTTGTGATATTTGTAGATATTTTGTTTATCCTAAACACGTTAGGCAAAAGTATGTTTTTTGTCTATTTTGTTTTCAATGTTTGTGCCTCTTCTTTCTTATGAGTAATCTTTCTCTTTTACTTTTCTGCCTTCTCTTCTCAGTAAAGTTGCTGATATCAGTTACTTAGAGCTTAGTGAGAATTCAAGTTAGTGCGTTTCTTCTCCTGGTGTTATATATTTACATGTATAAATGTTACACATATTACCTCTGTAATTTATTGAATGCTGACCATATGCCTAATCACTGTGCTAGTCACTTCCATTTGTTACCTGATTTAATTGGCATAGCAATCTTGAGAAGGAGGCACTATTATCTTCATTTTATACCTTTATTTATTTATCTACTTTTTCTTTTTTGAGACAAAATCTTACTCTTTCACCCAGGATGGAGTGCAGTGGTGTGATCTGAGTTCACTACAACCTTCACTTCCCTGGCTCAAGCAACCCTCCCTCTTTGGCCTCCCAAGTAGCTGGGACTACAGGCACATGCTACTGTGCCTGGCTAATTATTATTATTATTTTTATTATTTATTTTTCATAGAGACCAGGTTTTGTCATGTTGCCCAGGCTGGTCTCAAACTCCTGCGCTCAAGCAGGACCTCCCATCTCGACCTCCCAAAGTGCTGGGATTATAGGCATGAGCCACCATGCCTGGCCATTTTATACATTTAGAAGAATTTAAAGCTTAGGTAGTGTAATTAGAACCCAACTCTGCCTGATTCCACATTTCCTATTCTTGATCTCCACAGTAATGCTGATGGTTTTCATTGTTAAGGGGCTTTCAGACTGTGGCCTGCAGTTTTGGTGGGGTCTGTGGAACTCTGGACATCAGCTTTATTAACCACTGTCTTCCAAATACTTTTGACTTATGAATCTCTTTCACAGTCACTTATAAACTGGCAAATCTCCTTAAAATTAAAAAAATTTTTTGTTGTTGTTTTTGCATGGATATTCCACAGAAATGGTTTTAAGCAGAATGTTTTTATTTAGAAGAGTATATTTTTAAAATTTGGATTACAAAATTCATCTAAGATTCAACTCAAATGGCTTCATATTATAAAGACAAATTTTGACGTTTTAAAATATGTATGTACATGTGGATAACTTTATGTGACAAAAGATTATTTACTGGCAAACTAATAAATATAAAAAGTCTAACTTAATTTTATTATTATTTTTTATTATTTTAACTTTTATTTTAGATTCAGGGGTACATGTGCAGGTTTGTTATATAGGTACATTGTGTGTCATGGGGCTAACTTAATTTTAAAGCATCAAATACATAAAACTACTTTTATGACTTTTTTTTTGTATTTTGTATTTAAAATAATTTAATTTACTTCACCTAATAAGAAAGAATACTTTTGGTTGCTTTCTATAAGCTTTCAAATCTAAAGAGCACCTTTATAGTGTGGTCAGCCTTTATTTATAGTTCGGTCAGCCTTTATTTCTTACAAGTTCAAAAACAAATTAGTAAGTACAATATTTTATCCTTTTGATTTTTTTTAAGTTTTAGAGACACCTTAATGTGCTATTTGAGAATTATAAGCAGATGGTTGCAACTTATTGATTAGGTAAAAAAATCTTCATAGAATTCACTGAAATATTTTTATTACTATGCTCCTCATATTAATTTGCTGTATATAATGGTAGTGTCCCTTATAATTTTTTTAATTTTTAATTTTTGTGGGTATATAGTAGGTGTATATGTTTATGAGGTATATTAGATGTTTTGATACAGGCATGCAACGTATAATAATCATATGGAGAATGGGGTATCCATCCCTTCAAGCATTTATCCTTTGTGTTACAAAGAGTCCTATTATACTCTTTTAGTTATTTTAAAATCTAAAATTAAATTATCACTGACTATATTCACCCTGTTGTACTATCAAAGAGTAGGTCTCATTCATTCGTTGTTTTTTTTTTTTTTTTTTTTTTTTTTAGTTTTGCTCTTGTCACCCAGGCTGGAGTGCAATGGCACCATATCGGCTCACCACAACCTCTGCCTCCTGGGTTCAAGTGATTCTCCTGCCTCAGCCTCCTGAGTAGCTGGGATTATAGGTGCATGCCACTACACCCAGCTAATTTTTGTATTTTTAGTAGAGACGGGCTTTCACCATGTTGGCCAGGCTGGTCTTGAACTGTTGATCTCAGGTGATCTGCCCGCCTTGGCCTCCCAAAGTGCTGGAATTACAGGCATAAGCCACCGTGCCAAGCCAGTCTTACTCATTCTTTCTTTTTTCTTTTTTACCCATTAACTATCACTTGCTCCCACCTACCCCCTCACTGCATTTCCAGTCCCTGGTAATCACCCTTCTACTGTCTCCTTAAGTTCAATTGTTTTGATTCTTAGAGCCCACAAATAAGTGAGAAAATGTGATGTTTGTCTTTTTGTGCCTGGCTTATTTCACTTAACATAATGATCTCCAGTTCCATCCATGTTGTTGCAAAGGACAGGAGTACTATTGTGTATTGTGAGTACTATTGCAAAGGACAGGAGTACTCCATTGTGTATATGTACCACATTTTCTTTGTTCATTCGTCTGTTGATGGAAACGGATTGTTTCCAAATTTTGGCTGTTGTGAACAGTGTGGCAACAAACATAGGAGTGCAGATATCTCTTCAATATACTGATTTTTTTTCTTTTTGTTATATAGCCTGCAGTGGGATTGCTGGATCATATGATAGCTCAATTTTTAGTTTTTTAAGGAACCTCCAAACTGTTCTCCATAGTGGTTGTACTAAATTGCATTCCCACCAACAGTGTGCAAGAATTCTCCTTTCTCCACATCCTGGCTAGCACTTGGTGTTGCCTATCTTTTGGATATAAGCCATTTTAACTGGGATGAGTTGATATCTCATTGTAATTTTGACTTACATTTCTCTAATGATCAATGATATTGAGCACTTTTTCATATGCCTGTTTTCCATTTGTATGTCTTCTTTTGAGAAATGACTATTCAAATCTTTTCCCCAGTTTTGATTGGATTATTAGATTTTTTTCTTATAGAATTGTTTGAGCTCCTTATATATTCTTGTTATTAATCACTTGTCAGATGGGTAGTTTGCAAATATTTTCTCCCATTCCATGGGTTGTCTCTTCACCTTGTTGATTGTTTCCTTTGCTGTGCAGAAGGAAACCACTTTTTAACTTGATGTGATCCCATTTGTGCATTTTTGCTTTGGTTGCCTGTGCTTACAGGGTATTGCTCAAGAAAGTTTTGCTCAGGTCAATGTCCTAGAGATTTTCTCCAGTGTTTTCTTGTAGTAGTTTCATCGTTTAAGGTCTTTGATGTAAGTCTTTCTTCCATTTTGGTTTGATTTTTGTATATGGTAAGAGATAGGAATCTAGTTTCATTCTTTTGCATGTGGATATCCAATTTTACCAGCACCATTTATTCAGGACATTGTCTTTTCCCCAGTGTGTGTTCTTGGCACCCTTGTCAAAAATGAGTTTGCTGTAGATGTGTGGATTTGTTTCTGGGCTCTCCATTCTGTGCCATTGGTTTATGTGTTTGTTTTTGTGCCAGTACCATACTGTTTTGGTTACTATAGCTCTGTAGTATAATTGAAGTCAGGTAATGTGATTCCTTCAGTTTTGTTCTTTTTGCTTAGGATAGCTCTGGGACTTGTGTGGTTCCATGTACATTTTAGGATTGTTTTTTCTATTTCTGTGAAGAATATCATCGGTATTTTGATAGTGATTGCACTGCATTTGTAGATTACTTTGGGTAGTATGGACTTTTGATTTTTCAGTCCATGAACATGAAATATATTTTCATTTTTTTGTGTCCTCTTCAATTTCTTTCATCAATGTTTCATAGTTTTCTTCTTTTTTCATAGTTTTCATTATAGATATTTTTCACTTCTTTGGTTAATTCCTAGGTATTTAATTTTATTTGTGGCTATTGTAAATGAGATTTCTTAAAAATTTCTTTTTCAGATTGTTCACTGTTGGCATATAGAAATGCTACCAATTTTTGTATGTTGATTTTGTATCCTGCAACTTTACTGAATTTGTTAATCAGTTCTAATTGTTTTTTTGGTAGAGTCTTTAGGTTTTTCCAAATATAAGATCATTTCATCTGCAAACAAGGATAATTTGATTTCTTCTTTTCCAATTTGGATGCTTTTTATTTTTTTCTCTTGTCTGATCTTTGCATTGGATGTAGAATAACAGTGATAAAAGTGGGCATCTTTTTCTTGTTCCTGATCTTAGAGAAAATGCTTTCAATTTTTCCCCATTCAGTATAATAGTAGCTGCAGGTCTGTTGAATATGGTGCTTATGTGGAGGTATGTTCCTATACCCAGTTTTTGAGGGGTTTTATCATGTAGTGATGGTAAAATTTTCCATCTGATTTTTCAGCATCGAATGAAATAATCATATGATTTTTATTCATTCTTTTGATATGACATATTACATTGACTGATTTGAATGTGTTGAACCATCTTTGCATCCCAGGGATAAATCCCGCTTGGTCATGATGAATGATCTTTTAAATGCATTGCTGAATTCTGTTTGCTAGTATATTGTTGAGGATTTTTCATCAATATTCATCAGAGATATTGGCCTGTAGTTTTCTTTCTTTGATTTGTTCTTGTCTGGTTTTGGTATTGGGGTAATTCTGGCCTCATACAATTAGTTTGGAAGTATTCCCCCTTCTTCTATTTTTTGGAATAGTTTGAGTAGGACTGCCATTAGTTCTTCTTTAAATGTTTGGTAGAAATCAACAGTGAAACCATCAGGTCCTGGGCTTTTCTTTGCTGGGAGAGTTTTTATTAGTCCTTCAATCTTGTTACTTGTTATTGGTCTGTTCAGGTTTTGGATTTCTTCATGGTTCACTTTAGTAGGTTGTATGTATCTAGGAATTTGTCCATGTCTCCTAGATTTTATAATTTATTGGCAAATACTGCTCACAGTAGCCAATAATGATCCTTTGCGTTTCTGTGTTATCAGTCATAATGTCTCTTTTTTCATCTCAGATTTTATTTATTTGGATCTTCTCTTGTTTTTTCTCAGTCTGGCTAAAGGTTTGTCAATTTTGTTTAACTTTTCAAAAAAACAACTTTTTGTTTCATTGATCTTTTGTATTTTTTTTTTAAATTTCAACTTCATTTATTTCTGATCTGATCTTTATTTCTTTTCTTCTACTAATTTTGGGTTTGTTTTTCACTTGCTTTTCTAATTTTTTAATATGCATCATTAGATGATTTATTTGAAATTTTCCTTCTTTTTTGATATAGGTACTTTTAGCTATAAACTTTCCTCTTAATACTGCTTTTTGTTGTATCCCATGGGTTTTGGTATGTTGTGTTTCCAATATCATTTGCCTCAAGAAAATTTAAAATTTCCTTCTTAATTTCTTCATTGGCTTACTTGTCATTCAGAAGCATATTTTTTAATTCCCATGTATTTGTATAGTTTCCAAAGTTTCTCTTGTTATTAATTCTAGTTTTATTCCATTATGGTCAGAGAAGATACTTGATGTTATTTCAGTTTTTTGAGTCTTTTAAGATGTGTTTTGTGACCTAACATATGGTCTATCCTTGAGAATGATCCATGTGCTGAGGGAAAGAATGTGTACTCTGTGGATGAAATGTTCTATAAATATCTATCAGATTCATTTGGTCTATAGTGCAGATTAAGTCTGATGTTTCTTTCATGATTTTCTTTCTGCAAGATCTGTCCAATGCTGAAAGTGGAGTGTTGAAGTCTCCAGCTATTATTTTACTGGGGTCAGTCTCTCTCTCTTTAGCTCTAATAATATTTACTTTATACATTTGGGTGCTCCAGTGTTGGTTGCATGTATGTTTAAAGTTGTTATATCCTGTTGATGGGTTGATACCTTTATTATTATATAGTGACTTTCTTTGTCTCTTCTTATAGTTTTTATGTCAAAATCTATTTTGTCAGATATACATACAGCTACTTCTGCTCTTTTTTTGGTTTCTATTGGCATGGAATATCTCTTTTAATCTTCTTATCTATAGTCTATATGTGTCTTTATAGGTGAAGTGTGTTTTGTGTATGCAACAGATAAATTGATCATGTTTTTTAAATCCATTCAGCCACTCTATGTCTTTGATTGGAGAGTTAGTACGTTTACATTCAGTGTTACTATTGGTAAGTAAGAACTTACTCCTGCCATTTTGTTAGTTATTTTCTGGTTGTTTTGTGGTCTTTCTTTCATTCCTGTCTTCCTCTTAATGAACGCGATTTTCTCTGGTGATATGATTTTGTGCATCCATTGTATGTTTTTTGGTTTGAGGTTACCATGAGGCTTGTAAATACTATGTTATAACCCATTATTTTAAGCTGATAACAGCTTAACACTGTTTGCACAAGCAAGCAAATAAACAAACAAGCAAAATGAAAACCAGTAAAAACTCTACACCTTAGCTTCATCCCCTGCTTTTTAACTTTTTTTGTTTCCACTTTTTTTTGATCCTAAAGATCACTTTGTTTTATTTCACTATACTAATTTCTTAAAAAAAAACTTTTATTTTAGATTCAGGGATACATGTGCATGTTTATTATATAAACTTGTGTCATGGGGGTTTAATGTACAGATGATTTTCTCACCTAGGTACTAAGCCTAGTACCCAATAGTTATTTTTTTCTGATCCTCTCCCTCCTCCCACCCTCCACCCACAAGTAGGCCCTAGTGTCTTTGTTCCTTTGTGTCTAAGTGTACTCAGTATTCAGCTCCCACTTATAAGTGAGAACATGCAGTATTTGGTTTTCTGTTCCTGTGTTAGTTTGCTAAGGACAATGGCCTCCAGCCCCATCCAGGTTCCTGCAAAAAACATGACCTCATTCTTTTTTATAGCTACATAGTATTCTGTAGTGTATATGTACAACATTTTCTTTATCCAATCTGTCATGATGAGCATTTAGGTTGGTTCCAAGTCTTTGCTATTGTGAATAGTGCTGCAGTGAACACTCATGTGTGTATGTTTTTATGGTAGAATGATTTATATTCCTTCAGGTATATACCCAGTAATTGATTGCTCAGTCGAATGATAGTTCTGTTTTTAGCTCTTTGAGGAATTGCCTCACAGCTTTCCACAATGGTTGAACTAATTTACACTCCCACCAACAAGTGTTTCCTTTTCTCTACCACCTTGCCAGCACCTGTTATTTTTCAACTTTTTAATAGTAGCCATTCTGAGTGGTGTGAGAAGGTATCACATTGTAGTTTTAATTTGCATTTCTCTAATGATCAGTGATATTGAGCCCTTTTGCACATGCTCGTTAGCCACATGTATGTCTTCTTTTGAAAAGTATCTGTTCATGTTCTTTGCCCACTTTTTAAAGAGGTTGTTTGTTTTTTTCTTGTAAACTTGTTGAAGTTCCTTAAAGATGATGGACATTAGATTTTTGTCAGATGCATAGTTTGCAAATCTTTTCCCATTCTGTAAGTTGTCTGTTTACTCTGTTGATAGTTTCTTTTGCTGTGCAGAAACTGTTTAGTTTAATTAGATTCCGTTTGTCAATTTTTGTTTTTGTTGCAATTGCATTTGGTGTCTTTATCGTGAAGTGTTTGCCAATTCTTATGTCCAGAATGGTATTTCCTAGGTTGTCTTCCAGGGCTTTTATCATTTGGGTTTTACATTTAAGTGTTTAATCTATCTTGAGTTGATTTTTGTATATAGTGTAAGGAAGGGTTCTGGTTTCAATTTTCTGCATATGGCTAGCCAATTATCCCAGCACCATTTATTAAACAGTGAGTCCTTTTCACATTGCTTGTTTTTGTCAGCTTTGTCGAAGATCAGATGCTTGTAGGTGTGTGGTGTTATTTCTGGGATCTCCATTCTTTTTGTACTATCTAGGTCTTGAAAAGTTGTTGTAGTTGTTATTTTTGGTTAATTGTTTAGCCTTTCAACCTAGGATAAGAGTAGTTTACACACTATAGGTACAGTGTTATAATGTTCTGTGTTTTTCTGTGTACTTAGTATTACCAGTGAGTTTTGTACCTTCAGGTGACTACTTATTGCTCATTAACATCATTTTCTTTCTGATTAAAGTACTTTCTTTAGCATTTCTTGCAGGACTGGTCTGGTGTTGATGAAATCTCTCAGCTTTTGTTTGTCTGGAAAAGTTTTTATTTCTCCTTCATGTTTGAAGAATATTTTTGCTAAGTATGTTGTTCTAGGGTGTTATGGTTTGGCCCTGTGTCCCCACCCACATCTCATCTCAAATTGTAATCCCCATGTGTTGAGGGAGGGACCTGGTAGAAGGTGATTTGTTCATGGGGGTGGTTTCTCCCATGCTGTTCTCATGATAGTGAATGAGTTCTCATGAGATCTGATGGTTTTATAAGTGTTTGGAAGTTCTTCCTTTACTCTTCTTTCCCCTGCTGCCTTGTGAATAAAATGCTTGCTTCCCCTTTGCCTCCTGCCATGACTATAAGTTTCCTGAGGTTTCCCCCACCATGTGGAACTGTGAGTCAATTAAACCTCTTTCCTTTAAAAATCAGATATTTCTCAGATATTTCTTTATAGCAGCATGCGAACAGACTAATACAATTAATTGGTACCAAGAGTTTGGGGTACTACTATAAAGATACCTGAAAATGTGGAAGTGACTTTGGAAATGAGTAACAGGTAGAGGTTGGAACAGTTTGCATGGCTCAGAAGAAGACAGAAAGATGTGGGAAAGTTTCGAACTTCCTAGAGACTTGTTGAATGGTTTTGACCAAAATGCTGATAGTGATATGGACAATGAAGTCCAGGATGAGGTGGTCTCAGATGGAGATGAGGAACATATGTTTAAAAGGGATGCAGAGCATAAGATTTGGAAAATTTGCAGCCTGACAATGCAATAGAAAAGGAAAACACATTTTCTGGGTAGAAGTTCAAGCTGGCTGCAGAAATTTGCATGAGTAATGAGGAGATGAATGTTAATCCCCAAGACATAGGGAAAATGTTTCCAGGGCATGTCAGAGATCTTGGCAGCAGCCCCTCCCATCAGAGGCCCAGAGGCCTAGGAGGAAAAAATGGTTTTGTGGGCTGAGCCCAGGACCCTGCTCCTGTGTGTATCCTTGGGATTTGGTTCCCTGTGTCCCAGCCACTCCAGCTCCAGCCATGGCTAAAAGGGGCCAAGGTACAGCTTGGGCCATTGCTTTAGAGGATGCAAGCCCAAAGCCTTGGTGGCTTCCACATGGTGTTGGGCCTGCAGGTGCACAGAAGTCAAGTATTGAGGTCTGGGAATCTCCACTTAGATTTCAGAGGATGTATGGAAATGCCTGGATGTCTAGGCAGAAGTCTGTTGCAGGGGCAGAGCCCTCATGGAGAACCTCTTCTAGGGCAGTGCAGAAGGGAAGTCTGGGGTTGAAGCCCCCACACAGAGTCTCCACTGGGGCACTGCCTAGTGAAGCTGTGAGGCCACCACCCTCCAGATGCTAAAATGGTAGACCCACCAACAATTTGCACTGTACATCTGGAAAAACTGCAAGCACTCAACATCAGCCCATGAAGGAGCTGCCCAAGGCTGTGGGAGCCCACCCCTTGCATCAGCATGCCCTGGATATGAGACATGGATTCAAAGAATATCATTTTGGAGCTTTAAGATTTAATGACTGCCCCCTGGATTTTGGACTTGCATGGGGGCCTGTGCCCCTTTGCAAGAAATTGTTTTGGACAATTTCTCCCATTTGGAATGGGAGCACTTATCCAATGCCTGTACCTCCATTGTGTCTTGGAGATAACTAACTTGCTTTTGATTTTACAGACTCCTAGGTGGAAGGGAATTGCCTTGTCTCAGATGAGACTTTGGACTTGGACTTCTGGGTTAATGCTGGAATGAGTTTACATTTTGGGGGACTGTTAGGAAGGCATGACTGTGTTTTGAGATATGAGGACACAAAATTTGTGAGGGACCAGGGATGGAATTATATGGTTTGGCTCTGTGTTCCCACCCAAATCTCATCTCAAAGTGTAATCCGCAGGTATTGAGGGAGGGAACTGGTGGAAGGTAACTGAATCATGGGAGTGGTAGCCTCCATGTTTTTCTTATGATAGTGAATAAGTTCCCATGTGATATGATAGCTTGATAAGTGTTTGGAAGTTCCTACTTTGCTTTTCTCTCTCCTGCTGCCTTGTGAAGAAAGTGCTTGCTTCCCCTTCACCTCCTGCCATGATTGTAAGTTTCCTGACGCCTCCCCTGCCATGTGCAACTGTGAGGCAATTAAACTTCTTTCTTTTATAAATTACCCAGTCTTGGGTATTTCTTAACAGCAGCATGAAAATGGACTAATACATAGGATTAAGGTTTTGTTCCTTCAATATTTTAAATGTTTCATTCCACTCTCTCCTGGCCTGTTAGGTTTCTGAAAAGCTTGCTGCTATATGTATTGGAGGTCCATTATATGTTATTTGTCTCTTTTCTCTTGCTGCTTTTAGGATCCTTTATCCTTGATCTTTTGGAGTTTGGTTATTAAATGCCTTAATGTAGTTTTCTTTGGATTAAATCTGCTTGGTGTTCTATAACTTTCTTGTATTTAGATATTGATATCTTTCTCTAGGTTGGGGAAATTCTCTCTTACTATCCCTTTAAATAAACTTTCTACCCCTATCTCTTTCTCTACCTCCTCTTTAATGCTAGTAACTCTTAGATTTGCCATTTTCAGACTATTTTCTGAGTCCTGTAGACATGATTCATTGTTTTTTATTCTTTTTTATTTTATCTCCTCTGGCTGTGTATTTTCAACCTATCTTCAAGTTCACTAATTCTTTCTTCTGCTTGATCAGTTCTGCTATTAAAAGACTCTGATGCATTATTCAATATGCCAATTGCGTTTTTCAGCTCAGAATTTCTGGCTAATTCTTTTTGATTATTTTAATCTTTTAGTTAAATTTATCTGATAGACTTCTGAATTCCTTCTCTGTGTCCTCTTAAATTTCTGTGTTTCCTCAAAACAGCTATTTTGAGTTCTCTTTCTGAAAGGCTACATATCTCTGTCTCTCCAGGATTGGTCCCTGGTAACTTATTTAGTTCATCTAGTGAGGTCATACTTTTCTGGATTGTTTTAATACTTGTAGATGTTATTCAGTGTCTGGGCATTGAGGAGTTAGATATTTATTGTAGTCTTCATAGTCTGGGCTTCTTTGTACTCATCCTTCTTGGGAAAGCTTTCCAGATATTCAGAATAACTTGGCTGTTGTGTAAGCTGTATCTGCATTAGGGAGCACCCAGAACCCAGTAACACTGTGGTTCTTGCAGACTCGTAGAGGTACTGCCTTGATGGTCTTGGGCAAGATCTGACAAAATTCTCTGGATTACCAGGCAGAAACTTTTTATTTTCCGTTACTATCTCTCATACAAACAGAATCTGTCTCTGTTCTGAGCCACTTGAACCTGGGGGTGTAGTGACACAAGCATATCTGTGGCCACCACCTATGACTGCACTGGGTCTGACCTGAAGCCACTGCAGCACTGGGTCTTGCCCAAGGCCTGCTGTAACTACTCCTTTGCTACTGCCTATGTTCACTCAAGCTGTGGGGCTCTAAAATCATCAGGTAGTAAAGCCAGCCAGGCCTGTGTCCTTTCCTCCAGGGTAGTGAGTTCCCCAAGACCCCAGGCAAGTCTAGAAGTGTCATCCTGGAGCCAGGGACTACAGTCAAAAACCTTAGAAGCCTACCTAGTGTTCTATTGTACTACAATTGAGCTGGTACTCAAACCAGAAGATGTAATCCTTCCCACCCTTTCCTCCCCTTTCCAAAGGCAGAGGAGCCTCACTGTATGGGCACCACCACCAAAGGCCACAGGGAGTACCAGCAGACTGCTGCCAATGTTCCCTTAAGGACCGAGGGCTGTTAGGTCAGCTTGTGGTGAATACTCCCTGGCCTGGTACTCACATTTTGGGGCAGGGGGCTCCCCTCTGGCCCATGGCAGGTCCAGAAATGCTGTTCAAGAGCGAAATCCTAGAATCTGGGATGCCAAGAGACTGCTTGGTGCTCTAACTCCCATGGCTGGGCTGATACCTAAGATCCAAGACAAAGTCCCCCTTACTTTTCCCTCTGCTTTTCTGAAGCAAAAGGAGTTTTGGCCCGTGGACACTCAGCTCATAATATGCTGTGTCTCACCTGAAGCCAGCAAGTCTCAGAGGCTCACCTCAGCCCCTCAATGTAGTACCTGGGTATTGCTGCTGTTTATTTAGGGTCTGAGGGCTCTTTGGTTAGCAGGTGATAAATGTTGCCAGCACTGGGTCCTTCCCTTCAAGGAGCAGATTCCCTTCTAGCCCAAGGTGTGTCTAGAAATGTCTGGGAGGTAGGGCCTGGAAATGAGGCCTCGTGACTCTGCCCCATGCCCTATTCTCCTGTGGCTGAGCTGGTATCCAAGATGTGGCCCATTCTTGCCTCTCCTTTCCTCAGGTGTGAAGGAAGAGGTATCTTTTGGAGTTAGGAGATTTGCAGCCTAGGGTTAGCGGAGGGGTGGTGCCAGCACTCCCTTAGCTGCCCCAGCTGGTGTCTCAGTAGGTCATGTGCCCCACCAGTCCACTGTCTCTGGGCCTGGTTAAGCCCTAGGATTCACCTAGGTGTTGTAGTCCTTGTGGCCTAGATTGCCTTTCAAATTTATTTAGAGCCCCAGGGCACTTTAGCCTGTGGTGGCAAGGCTTGCAGGTGGTGATGCTTGTGGGAATTCAAGTTCCAACCACTGGGATCAATGAATGCACCCTGGGTAGAGCTGGTTTAAATAGTCTCTCCTTGGGGGGGCATCAGTTGAGTTTGGTCTGGTGTTCCTTTCTGCTATAACAGGACAACACTGAGTTCAGTGTCTCACAACTGCCAGCTCTCCCTCCCCCAGCAAACAGAACTGCTCTCCACCCCACGCCACTGCTCAGGGAGGGATGGCATTGGTGATTCAAGCCTGTTTTTTTCTATCTCTTCAGTGTCTCTTTCACAAAGTTAAAACTAGGTACTGTGAGTGCTCACCTGATTTTTGTTTCTTATGAAAGTGTTTTGTTGTGTAGATAGCTGTTAGATTGGTGTCCTTGCAGTGGGGGACACAATTGGTGGAGTCTTCCATTCCACCATCTTGTTCCTAATTCTTTTTTTTAATGACTAGTATTTAGTTATAAATTAAATAATACCTGAATAAGAATGAAAACACCCAAAGTTGCATAATAGTCAAATCCTCAAGGTAGCTATTGGTTTTAGCTAAATGATAAATGATGAGGTAACTAGGACTTCAGCAACAGTATTCGCTATTGATCTTGCTCATTTGACATAAACCCCCACGCTCTCACACCATTCAGTTTCACTGGGAAAATGATGTAGATATTTCATGCATTGTTATTCTTGAAAAATAGAAACAGAATTGATGCTACTATTGCCTTTAAGCTTTTAGGGATTTGAAAACTGTTGACTGGGAAGCACAGTTGTAGTTGGTACATATTTTACTTATGTGTAAGGTAGACTTGCTGTACAGGCTGCTGTAAGATGAAAATCTGGGTACAGGCGTGGAGATTTTTCCCATTTTCCAATTCCCTTTTTACCTTCCTCGTTTTCAATCAGCTTACATCTTCCACAGCAGTAAGGAGGAGACTGGTGAAGCAGGGCCAGTTGTAGTCAGTCTTTTCCTTTCTGCAGTCTAGAAGGCCCAGGCGGCATCCCTGCTGCCCAGGTGTCTGCTGGCCTGGCTTCATCAAGCAGCCCTTTTTTCTGCACATGCTCTCCTAATGGCCTCTTTCTGCTTTCCTGAGTGACAATCAAACTGATTCTGAAGAATATGCTTATAGTCATAAATGTGAACAATAGCGAGCAAAGATCCCTCCTTTCTGAGTACAACAGGTTTCTGAGGACAATATTTTATTTTTTTTTAAATGGACACATTATAATTGTACATATTTATGGAGTACAGTTTGATGTTTTGATACATGTATATGTAGTATAACGATAAAATCAGGGTAGTTAGCATATTCATCATCTCATGCATTTATCAACTCTTTATGCTGAAAACATTCAGAAGCTTATCCTCTAGCTATTTTGTCATATACAATACCTTACTGTTAACCGTAGTTCCTCTACTGTGCAATAGAACCCAGAACTAATTCCTCCTATTTAATGTAACTTTGCACCTATTGATCCACCTCTCGCCATCCTCTTTTCCCCCCACATCTTCACAGTCTCTGATAATCACTATTCTACTCTCTACTTCTATGATTTCAACATTGTTTTATTATGTTCCACATAATAATGAGATCATGCAGTATTTGTCTTTCTGTATCTGGCTTATTTCACTTAATATGGTGTCTTCCAGTTTCATTCATGTAGTCAAAATGACGGGATTTCATTATTTTTTATGGCTGAATAGTATACCATTATATATATAATATTATGTGGAATTATATATATATATAATGGTATACAATTCATTGAATGAATATACTATATCCATTATATATATGCATTATATATAATGGTATACTATTAAGCCATAAAAAGAATGAATGGATAAAGAAAATGGGATATAAATATATATCTATTCATTCATTGTAGGAAACTTAGATTGATTCCATATCTTGGCTATTGTAAATAGTGCCGCAATAAACATGGACTGCAGATATCTCTTCAACATACTGATTTCATTTCCTTTGAATATGTATTTAGCAGTGGGATTGCTGGATTATATGGTTCTATGGCCAATTAAGTTTCAACAAACGTGCCAAGAATACATGTTTTATTATTCTTTATTATTCTATTTTTAATTTTTTGAGGAACCTCCATAATGTTTTCCATAATGGCTGTAGTCATTTATAATCCCACCAACAGTGCATAAGAGTTCCCTTTTCTCCACATCCTTCCCAACACTTGTTTTCTTTTGTCTTTTTATAGTAACTGTTCTAACTGGAGTGAGAAAATATCTCATTGTGATTTTGATTTACATTTTCCTGGTGATTAGTATTGTTGAACATTTTTTTTTCATACACCCATCATGGCATTTGTGTATCTTTTTTTTTTTTTTTTTGAGACAACGTCTCTGTTGCCCAGGCTGGAGTGCAGTGGCATGAACATGAATGACTGAAGCCTTGACCTCCTGGGCTCAAGTGATCCTCCCACCTCAGTTTATCAAGTAGTCATAGGCACATACCACCACACCTGGCTAATTTTTTAAGTTTTTTGTAGAGGCAAGGTTTTACTTTGTTGCCCAGGCTGGTGTCAAATTCCTGAGTGCAAGCAATCTTCCTGCCTTGACCTCCCAAAGTGCTGGGATTACATGTGCGAGCCATTGTGCCCAGCCTTGTGCATCTTTTTTATTTCAGAACATCTGTTAAGGTCTTTTGCCCATTTTTAAAGTCAGACCATTATTATTATTATTGCTATTGAGTTATTTTCTTTTTATTTATTTATTTAGAGACAAAATTTCACTCTGTTGCCCAGGCTGGAGTGCAGTGGTGCAATCATAGCTCACTGTAGCCTTGAACTCCTGGGCTCAAGTGATCCTCCTGTTTCGGTCTCCTGAGTCACTGGGGCTACAGGCACATGCCATAGTGCCTGGATAATTCATTTAGTTTTATTTTTTGTACAAATGGGGTCTCCCTTTGTTGCCTCCCAAACTGCTGGAATTATAGGCATGAGCCATTGTGCCCAGCCATATTGAAGTTTTAAAAATATATTTCGGATATTAACCTCTTGTTGGGAGTACAGTTTGCAAATATTTTCTCCCATTCTGTAAGTTGTCTCTTCAGTCTGTTAATTGGTTGCTTTGCTGTGTAGAAGCTTTTTAGTTTGATATAATCCCATTTGTCTATTTTTTGCTTTTGTTGCTGTGCTTTTGAGGCCTTATTTAAGAAATCTTTGCCAAGCCCAATCTCATGAAGCATTTCTCCTGTGTTTCCTTCTAAGAGTTTTGCAGTTTGGGTTTTTACATTTAAGTCTTTAATCCATTTTGAGTTGATTTTTGTCTGTGGTGAGAGGTAGAAGTCTAGTCTCATTCTTCTGCATGTAGGTATGGAATTTTCCCAGCACTCTTATTGAAGAGACTGTCTTTTCTTCAACATGCATTCTTGGCACGTTTGTTGAAACTCAATTGGCCATAGAAGCATGAAGTTGTTTCTGGGCTTTGTATTCTGTTTCCCTTGTCTATGTGTCTGTTTTTATGCCAGTAGCACATTGTTTTGGTTACTATAGTTTTATAGTATAATTTGGAGGCAGGTAGTATGATGCCTCTAGCTTTGTTATTTTTACTCAGGATTGCATTGGCTATTTGGGGTCTTTGTGGTTCCACATGAATTTTACTTTATTATTTTATTTCATTATTATTACCTTTTGAGATAGAATCTCACTCTGTCTCCCAGGCTGGAGTGCAGTGGCACGATCTTGGTTCACTGCAACCTCCGCCTCCCGGGTTCAAGCAATTCTCCTGCCTCAGCCTCCTGAGTAGCTGGGGATTACAGGCATGCACCACCATGCATAGCTATTTTTTTTTTTTGTATTTTTAGTAGAGACGGGGTTTCACCATATTGACCAGGCTGGTCTCAAACTCCTGACCTTGTGATCCACCTGCCTTGGCCTCCCAAAGTGCTGGGATTACAGGCGTGAGCCACCGTGCCTGTCTATGAATTTTAGAATTGTTTTTTCTCTTTCTGTGAAGAATGTCATTGGTATTTTAATAGAGATTGCATTAAATCTATAGATTGTCTTGTGTAGTATGGTCATTTAAACCATATTAAGTCTTCTGATCCATGAACACAGGATATCTTTTCATTTTTGTGTCTTCTTCAATATCTTTTATCAATGTTTTATTGTCTTCAGTGTAGAGATCTTTCACCTCCTTGGTTAAGTTTAGTCCTAGATATTTTAGTTTTGTTGGGTCTATTATAAATGAAGTTGTTTCCTTTTTTTTAAATTTTATTATTATTATACTTTTAGTTTTAGGGTACATGTGCACAACGTGCAGGTTTGTTACATATGTATACATATGCCATGTTGGTGTGCTGCACTCATTAACTCGTCATTTAGCATTAGGTATATCTCCTAATGCTACCCCTCCCCCATCCCCCCACCCCACAACAGTCCCCGGTGTGTGATGTTCCCCTTCCTGTGTCCATCTGTTCTCATTGTTCAATTCCCACCAATGAGTGAGAACATGCGGTGTTTGGTTTTTTGTCCTTGTGATAGTTTGCTGAGAATGATGGTTTCCAGTTTCATCCATGTGCCTACAAAGGACATGAACTCATCCTTTTTTATGGCTGCATAGTATTCCATGGTGTATATATGCCACATTTTCTTAATCCAGTCTATCGTTGTTGGACATTTGGCTTGGTTCCAAGTCTTTGCTATTGTGAATAGTGCCGCAATAAACATACGTGTGCATGTGTCTTTATAGCGGCATGATTTATAATCCTTTGGGTATATACCCAGTAATAGGATGGCTGGGTCAAAAGGTATTTCTAGTTCTAGATCCCTGAGGAATCGCCACACTGTCTTCTACAATGGTTGAACTAATTTACAGTCCCAAATTGTTTCCTTGATTCTTTTTTTTAGATAGCTCACTATTAGCATATGAAAATGGTATTGATTTTTGTATGTTGATATTATATCCTGCAATTTTATTAAATTTGTTTATTAGTTCTGTTTTTTGGTGGTGTCTTCAGAGTTTTCTGTATAAGATTGTGTCGTGTGCAAACAGTATCAATTTGAGTTCCTCCTTTGCAATTTGGATGCCTTTTATTTATTTCTTTTGCCTAATTTCTCTGTCTAGGACTTCCAGTGTTGCATTGAATAGAAGGGGTGAAAGTGAACTTTCTCGCTTTGTTCCTGATCTTAGAGGAAAAGCTTTCAGCTTTTCCCTATTCAATATCATGTTAGCTGTGGGTTTGTCATATATGGCCTTTCTTGTGTTGAGGTACATACCTTCTGTATCTAATTTGTTGAGAGTTTTTATTATGAAGGAATGAATATTGAATTTATATATATATATATTTTTTTATTTATTTATTAAAATAGAGATGGGGTCTCACTATGTTGCCTAGGCTGATCTTAAACTCCTGGGCTCAAGCAATCTTCCTGCCTTGGCCTTCTAAAGTGCTGGGATTACAGGTGTGAGCCACCATGCCTGGCCAGGAATGTTGAATTTTGTCAAATGCTTTTCCTGCATCTATCAAAATGATCATGTGGGTTTTGTCTTTCGGTTAATGTTGTGAATCACGTTTATTGATTTACATACATTGAACCATTCTTGCATCCCTGGGATGAATCCCACTTAATCGTAGTGAAGGATTTTTTAATGTGCTATAGAATTTGATTTGCTAGTATCTTGTTGAGAACTTTTCCATCTATGTTTATCAGGGGTATTTGTCTGTAGTTTTCTTTTTTTGTTGTGGCTTTGTCTTGTTTTGAATTAGGGCAAGGCTAGCTTCATAAAATGAGTTTGGAACTATTCCTTCCTCTTCAATTTTCTGAAATAGTTTAAGGAGAATTGGTATTATTTATTGATTAAATACTTAGTAGAATTCAGCACTGAAGCCATCAGATTCTGGATTTTTCTTTGATGGAAGACTTTTTGTTACTAATTAAATTTTCTCACTCATTATTGGTGTGCTTAGATTTTCTATTTCTTAATAATTTAAACTTGGTAGGTTGCACGTGTCCAGAAATTTATCCATTTCTTCCATGTTATCAAATTTGTTGGTATATAGTTGATCATCATAGTCTCACAATCTTTTGTACGCCTGTGGTGTCAGTAGTAACATCTTCTCTGGTTTTATTTATTTGAGCCCTCTTTTTATCTTAGCCTAGCTAAGGTTTATTGATTTTGTTTATCTTTTCAAAAAACACAACTCTTCATTTCATTGATCTTTTGAATTGGATTTTTAGGTCTCTATTTCATTTATTTCTGCTCTAAGCATTATTATTTTCTTCCTTCTACCAACTTTGGGTTTACTTTGTTCTTGTTTATCTAGTTCCTTGAGGTGCATTGTTAGGTTGTTTATTAGAAATCTTTTTCTCTTTTTTGATGCAGGCCTTTATGCTATAAACTTTCCTCTTAGAATTGATTTTGCTATGTTCCATAGGTTTTGGTATGGTGTGTTTCCATTCTTGTTTGTCTTAAGGAATTTTATAATTTCTCTTTGAATTTCTTCATTGACCTATTTGTTATTTAGAAACTTTTTTTTTTTTTTTGAGACATTGTCTCCCTCTGTCACCCAGGCTGGAGTGCAGTGGCATGATCTCGGCTTACTGCAACCTCCGCCTCCCAGGGTCAGGCAATTCAGGCGATTCTCCTGCCTCAGCCTTCCAAGTAGCTGGGATTACAGGTACCTGCCACCAGGCCAAGCTAACTTTTGTATTTTTAGTAGAGACGGGGTTTCAGCCTGTTGGCCAGGCTGGTCTCGAACTCCTGACCTTAGGTGATCCGCCTGCCTCGCCCTCCCAAAGTGCTGGGGTTATAGGCATGAGCCACTGCGCCCAGCCAGGAACATGTTTTTAATGTCCATATATTTGTAAGGTTTCCTGAGTTTTTCTTGTTGTTGATTTCTAGTTTTATACCATTGTGTTCAGAAAAGATATTTGATATACTCTCTACCTTCTTAAATTTTTTAAGAGCTGTTTTGTGACTTAACTAATGATCTATCCTGGAGAATGTTCCATGTGCAATTGAGAAGAATGTATGTTTTGCAACTGTTGGATGGAACATTTTGTAAATGTCTGTTAGGTCCATTTTGTCTATGGTACAATTTAAGTCCAATGTTTCTTAGTTGACTTTCTGTTTAGATAGTCTACCCATTGTTGAAAGTGGGGTGTTGAAGTCCCCTACTATTATTGTATTGGAGTCTATCTCTCCCTTTAGATCTAATAATATTTACTTTATGTGTTTGCATGCTCTGATGTTGAGTGCATATATATTTATGATTGTTATATTCCCTTGTTGAATTGATCCCTTTATCATTATATAATGACCTTCTTTGTCTCTTTTTACAGTTTTTGACTTAAAATCTATTGTATCTGATACAAGTATAATTACTTCTCACTTTTGGTTTCTGTTTGCATGGAATATCTTATCCTGTCTCTTCAATTTTAGTCTTCAGTGGTGAGGTGATTGTCTTTAAAGGTGCGGTGAGCCTCTAGCAGGCAGTAAAATGCAAATGCATTTTGTCTTTTTGAGGACATCTTTCCTAGAACTTCTGTGCTCTTTCATTCTGTTCCTCAGGCCTCTGTGTAGGTATCTCTTGGTTTTGCTTTCACTGCTATCCTGGGATTGCTTTTATTCTCTCTTAAGTTTTCTCTCTATTTCCTGGATAGTATGTCTTCCTGTTTCTTGGTTCAGTCCCTGATTTTGGAGGAGCACATTTTTCAGTAGCTTCCTGAGAAAGTGCATGGGAGGTATATTTTTGGAAACTTGCACGTCTGAAAGTGATCCCCCCTCCCCATACTTACTGATAATTTGTCTGGGTGAATCTAGCTTGGGAATATTTTCCTCTTAGAAACTCAAAGTACTTCTTTATTATTCTTTAGTTTCCAGTATTACTGTTGATAAATCTAATGCCTATCTTATCTTTATTTTTTTGTCTTCATGCATATATATCTTTCTGTTTCTAGTGTTGTGAAATTTCCGACTGATATGGTTTTATTTTATTTTAAATCATTGTGCTGTGCACTTAGCAGGTCCTATCAGTCCAGAAACTCTTGTCTTTCAGTTTTGAAAATTTTTCCTAAATTATTTCTTTGATTATTTTCTTCCCCTCCATTTAACATATTTTATCTTTCTGAAACTTCTATTATTTGGAATATTGGATCTCCTGGACTTTAATCAGTTCTTTAATATTTTATTCTTTGACTTTTTATTCTACTTTGTGGGAGATTGTTTTATTTTTGAATTGTAGACCTTCTATGGAAGTTCATTTCTGCTATCATGATATTTAATTTCAAAAATGCTTTACTTGTTTTCTGAATCTTGCTACAGCATCATATTCTTGTTGTGTGAGTACAATATTATATTCTCTTATTTTTTCTGAGAAGATTAAAGGTTTATTTTATTTTTACATTTTTTTATTTATTACTTAGACTTTACGTTCTGGGGTACATGTGCAGAATGTGCAGGTTTGTTACATAGGTATACATGTGCCATGGTGGTTTGCTGCACCCATCAACCCGTCATCTACATTAGGTATTTCTCCTAATGCTATCCCTCCCCTTGCCCCCCACCCCCCAACAGCCCCTGGTGTGTGATGTTCCCCTCCCTGTGCCCATATGTTCTCATTGTTCAGCCCCCACTTTTGAATGAGAACATGTGGTGTTTGGTTTTCTGTTCCTGTGTTAGTCTGCTGAGAACGATGGTTTCCAGTTTCATCCATGTCCCTGCAAAGGACATGAACTCATTCTTTTGCATTGCTGCATAGTATTCCATGATGTATATGTGCCACATTTCCTTTATCCAGTCTATCATTGATGGGCATTTGGGTTGGTTCCAAGTCTTTGCTATTGTGAATAGTGCCACAATAAACATTTGTGTACATGTGTCTTTATAGTAGAATGACTTATGATCCTTTGGGTCTATAGCCAGTAATGGGATGGCTGGGTCAAATGGTATTTCTAGTTCTAGATCCTTGAGCAATCACCACACTGTCTTCCACAATGGTTGAACTAATTTACACTCCCACTAACAGTGTAAAAGTGTTCTTATTTCTCCACATCCTCTCCAGCATCTGTTGTTTCCTGACTTTTTATGATTGCCATTCTAACAGGTGTGAGATGGTATCTCATTGTGGTTTTGATTTGCATTTCTCTAATGACCAGTGATGATGAGCTTTTTTTTCATAAGTTTGTTGGCCACATAAATGTCTTCTTCTGAGAAGTGTCTGTTTATATCTTTTGCCCACTTTTTGATGGGTTTGTTTGTTTTTTTTTTGTAAGTTTGTTTACGTTCCTTGCAGATTCTGGATATTAGCCCTTTGTCAGATGGATAGATTGCAAAAATTTTCTTCATTATATTTATTAAAAGATATTTCTTTAACGTTGTCACTGTTTTCTTCTAAGTTCCTTTGGTTTCTGGTGTTCCTCAATATCGGATGATCCTCAGTAGTCCTCTCATATGTAAAATGTGGGTGCCACATAACTGATTAGAAGATCTGGGTCTAGAGGATAAAGGGCTTGTGAATTTGTGGGCTTAACTTCTAGGTGATTTAGTTCAGCTGTTTTTCAAGGGGAATCTTTATGAGCATCTTTAGGACTTTTCTATTGGATTGGTCTCTGGAGAATAAGCTTTCAGTCCCCTGTCTAAAGGATACAAACCTAGTTGTCAGAATTCTGGGGGCTGAGTAGAAGAAGGGGCTGGAGACCTCAACTTTCAGTATATAGACTTTTTTTAGAGGTACTTCTAACCCTAACTCTGCATGGTGTGCCTCAGAGTAGAGTTTCTCTTATTATCTTATCTTACCTTCAACTAGGGTGGGAAAGGGGCAGCCCCCAGCTCCATGGAATGAGAGGGGGTTCCAAACTCTAACTTCTTCCTAAACTGAATTGAAATAACTATCCTAGTTTTAGCTGTTTAAAAAATTCCACTTTCATAGGTACCTGCCCCTGTAATTTCTGAGTATGACTGGAGTTCTATGAGGCAAATCAGTGTACAGCTTTGTTTCCCCCACTGCTGACACAGGTTTCAGCATTCTCCAGTCTGCTGGTTCACTTAGCATTTACCCATGTACTTTCCAGCTTCCAATATTTTGTTGCTATTTTATCATCTTCTGTTGTCTTTGCTTCATGGGTTTATACTTAAAAATATTCCTTTACTCTCATTTTAATGGGGTTTCAGACAGAATAGAGGTAAATGTATACATTCAAACCTCCATCTTTAATCAAATGCCTGTGGTTTTTTTTTTTAGTATCTTGCAAAATTTCTGAATTATGATGCTTACTTTTATGTGTTTAAACATTTTTATATTTAAAGCTGGTTTTATTTTGAAATGAACAAAACAAGTTATCTTGAATGTCCTTCCAGAAATATTCCTTATGTCTACAAGCACATTGGTAGTGTTTTTACATGTAAAATTCCTCTTCAAAAGTGCAAGATCGATGTCCTTTTTCTGGCTAGGGAAAGAAAAGCAACAGCATGATGAAGAAGACTGATGAAAAAGGAATTAATGAAGAAAGCTGTTGAAGAAGGAATTTCTTATAAATGTATTGGACACTTCTCTGTCTCCCATCTTACCCCAGCTCCTGCTGTGGTGACCAGGTCTGGGCAGGCTTCAGCCAGCCTCACTCAGTACATCCTGTCGGTGCCTCACCTCAGGCCTGCACTAGGAACACCACTTGCTTTTTGTCTGGGGTTTCTGTGACACCTGCAGGTGGAACATTTTATGAAATCCTGTAGTACAGGCAAATGCAACCCTTTTGGGAGCAACCTTGCTGAATGGTGACAGGACCCAATGAACAACTATCCCATTCTCTCTTGTCCCAGTCAGGTTCTGAGATATCTTCTCAGTCATTCCCTCAGGATTGAGGAAACCATAGTGGTGGCCAACTATGAACCCCTCCCGGGAGAGTCTTTCCCTCCTATATTAACTACCTTTTCCTTCATTCTGCAAACTGGAATCACTTCTCAAATAAACTGCTTGCACTTAAGCCTTTTCTTTAGGTTTTGTTTTCAGAGGGAACCCAGGCTAAGATGATAAGTTAAAAAGTCTTTATGATATGACTTTATGATGCACTTTAAATAGAAACCAGTGCAATCCTAGTGTGAGAAAGAAGCAAGGCATGAAGAGCTTGGGGTTCTTTCTTTGATCATGGAGCTCCATGCTAGTTCATTTGCAAGCACGCTGGCCACTAGTTATCCCAGAGCAGCTTCAAACAAGGTTTTGAATAGATAATGTATGTACATGGTACAAAGTGTAAAAGTACAAAAGTAAATTTAGTGAAAGCAAGATTTCCTTCCCTTCCTCTCTCTCCCAGCCCCTCAGTTTCCTTTGGGAAACTGCCTCCAGTTTTGTGTGTATCTTTTCAGAGAGATATTCTATGCAAATGAAAATACGTATATTCACTGGGCAAGTATTTATTTATAGAATGAATATATATGTACCTATGTATATATGTTATTTTTTATAGACATGGTTGCATACTCGATTCCGCATCTTGCTTTTTTTATTTAAAAATATCACCTGAGTAATTTTCATTAATAACAACTGATGGGCAAACTTCTCTCATGCTAACAGTGATGACAGTCTAAAATAATTACAGCCTTCAGGGAACCTGTACTTTTCTGATACCTTTATCTTACTGGGGGACCCGGAGATCTGGAGGGAGTCTACAGGGGAATACTTTTTGGAAATTAGGTGTCAGGTAAGGATTAGATCCCAGTTTCCTTTAGGTAGCTAGGTGTACTTCCTGGGAACCTCAGACCACAGAGTCTCATTCATTCTCTCCTCTAGGATTCACCTTACAGGGGACTGAACCCTGAACCCTGGAAGCCCTTCTCTTCTGGAACCCACCCACTCAGAGAGAGTTAGGTAGGGTCAATCTTTCTGTCTCCTTTCTTTCACCATCTTCTATCTGTGTTGTTATTCCTTCAATGTAAGCATATTTGTAAATCAAAAGTTGACACTTGAGACCTGTCTATAAATAAATGCTTTACAAATTTAATGCATTGAATTAGTAAAGTGAATCCAACTGGCTTAGACTTCCAATTTTCTAGAACTTATAGAAACTTTAGAGATCATTTGAACCCCCAAATAAGACAGTTCCCCAATACGTATTCTGTTTGGTTAGTGGCAAAATCCAAGACTTGCATTTAGGTTCCACTAGACTGCAAGAAAGGAAAAGGTATTATTTTTATTATTTTGACACAGGGTCTTGCTCTGTTGTTCAACCTGGAGTGCAGTGGTCATCATAGCTCACTGCAGCCTTGAGCATCTGGGCTCAAGCAATCCTCCCGCCTCAGCCTCCTGAGTAGCTGGGACTACAGGGGCGTGGTACCACACCCTGCTAATTCTTTCATTTTTTGTAGAGACAGAGTCTTGCTATGTTGTCCAGGCTGGTCTCAAACTTCTGGCCTCAAGTGATCCTCCTACCTCAGCCTCCCAAAGTGCTGAAATTATAGGTGTGAACCATTGCATCAAGGCAGAAAAAAGTATTCTTAAGGCAGGTGATTTTTTAAAAGAAATATGACAAAATAAATGTATAAACCTGTTAAAATTTATTGGTATAAATAATGTACCATAAATCTTTGAATAAAGATGGTTTCTGTGCTACTACTACTGTCTTAACTCCATTTGAAAGTTTACTATGCCCTTTCACCTTATCTTTAGAAATTACCTTCTATAATAGAGTGGGACAAAAAAAAGACATATAGGATTTTATTCTTACTATTATAAAAATAACTTTGTATAGTGCTTTACAGCTTATAAACTGAATGTGAATAATATAATTTAATCCTTATAACAACCTTGTATGGCATGACAGCTTGTAGTTTTCAAAGGTTGAGGGTATATATCTCACCCCCATGCTCTTCTTATAATTCATATGTTGACATTTCTCCATGAAAAGGTGGGATAGACCTTTGTGACTGCCTACCAATAGAATGTGTGAAAGTGACACAACTTGATTTTCAAGTCTGCATCATAATGCGACTTCCTCCTGGCTTGCTCTCTCAGGCCACACTCCTTTAGGGGCACCACATAAGAAGTCTAGTGACCCTGAAGCTGCCATGCTGGAAAGACCAGAAGGAAAGAGCATACAGAGATGCAGAGAGATGCCTGAAGAGCCATAGTGGTTCCAGCTGCCAGATCTTCCAGTCCTTTCAGCCCAGATGTGTAAGTGAAGAAGCCTTTGAGAGGACCCAGGCACAGTATCCACTCACTGCAACCTTCCAAGGGACCCTGAGTTAGAACTGCCCAGTTGGGCTGCTCCCAAGTTTTTGAGAATTTAAAAATTATTGTTGTTTTAGACCCCTAAGATTTGGAATGATTGTTACATAGCCATAGTGATAGTAACATAGTATTATTATTATTTCCACTTAACTGTTAAGAACCTGAAGATTCAGAGGGTGACTGATCTTCATCAAGTGGCAGGGTTGAGTTGTGCACGCATGTCTTTGGCTCTAAGTCCCGTATTACTTCTGCTCCTCTCTGCTGTAGGTTAAAGTATAGTCACATACACAATTTAGATTTCTCTTTTTGATTTTTAAGGATCCAGTTAAATATGCTTGGAGTGATGACTTCTTTCCTTCTAGATTCCTAGGATTCTGGTTCACCCCACCCCTCTACCTGCACCACAGCTATTGAAGCCACTGTTGCTCTGCTCTGTGAGCACTCATCTCTCAGGGTTTGCTTCTTACAATATTATCTTTGGCTCGCCCATGTCTCTGGCTTTAATCAAGCTTCAGAAGCCATGTAGTGGCACTATTTTAAGGCTGTCATGGGGGAAGGATCTTCCTGAAGGGAAGAGGAACATTTTGTTGTATTATGTGAGCTGCTTATTTAAACCCATGATAGCCTGGCACCTGTGTCCTAGTGAAACAATTCAGTGAGCTTGTGAGTCGGCAGAGAGCCAGTCTAGCAGATGGTCATGGGAGGAGGGACCATGCACCATATGATCATCAAGTGTGCTTGCCCAGGGCAGGAGTCCCTGCCAGAAAGGTCCAAATGCCTGCCCTTAGAGCTGAAGTCTTATTGTTACAGGGAAGCCTAAAATGAAAAAAAATGCTGGGGAAAGATGAAACAACAATAATATTTTCATTTGAGCTGGAAACCCAGAGAGAAATTAGCCATGGTAAAGAAGATCTTTTGAGAGTTGAAGAGTGATAAGGCACTCACTGTGGAGTAGTTTTTCCCTGGGTTGAGAACAGTTCTCTATGAAACAAGAGTGTGGATGTTCACTGTGCATGCACAGAAGTTGTATCCCATAATAGCTTTACCAATTATGATGATTCTGGGAGCACCTGAGGCAAGAAGAGGCCAGTGTCTATGGCTCACCTGTTTGAAATCAGGAGCTGCAGCAGATGAGCAGGCAGTTAGCCTGGAAGGCTTGCTGAGACCCTGGTGGTAAACACTGTATTGCCAGATCCCCCTTTCCTTTCCTCTGGCAATCTGGAAGCTCCCTAATTCAGATCTGCCTAACCATATTCTTCCCAGAAATGCTGACCCCATGTAACATTTTTGGATGTCATATACCTATAATATTGTAGACACTACCAATGGATTTTTCCTTAAAAAAAGTGCTTAGCCTCATTTAATCAACAGTAGCCATTCATTTATTTGTTCATTTTCCCTGGCAATTATTTGTTTATCTTCTCTCATATTGTAAGATAATGTGTTTCCTGGTGGTGGAGATATACAGATGATTAAAATCCAATCTCAGAATTCAAAGGTTTTTTCCACTTAAGGAAGAAAAATAATGTCAAGGTATATATGAAGCAAGATGCAAAAGTGCTACATAAAAATTAGAAAAAATGTTATAGGGAGTAAGAGGAGAAAAAGAGAAACAGATCACTTACATTATATTAGTGGCTTCAGCCATACTTGTAGGAATAGACAGTGTTTAAAATAGACAGTAGCTGTTATTGCTATTAAATATTTCCCCTCATGCAGTACATGTGTATTGGATAACATTGAGAAAACAGAGACAATCACATAGAATAAAATAAAAATTTCCTTTAACTTCATTATCATCCATAGGCAACCATTCTGCCTGTTTCGATGTCAGGAGTTATCCACATAAGAAGCAGCTGGATCACAAATTGGTAATGGAGAGTGAACGTACCTGTGATGTTTGATTTGGGGCTAATATCTGAAGCCACAGTTTGTTTCTTTCCTCAGGATCCTAATACACAGGACATGTATTCCCCAATCAGATGATGTGTGAAACTCTATACTTTTGTTAGCTGTTACAAATAAAAATCTAGGGCTCTCGAAGGAAATTGAATGTGTAACACAGAGTTTATATTTCAAGTAAGTTTGCCTCAAATATGCCCTCCAAATTTAGTAAAGATCCATCTTGCTGTTTTGGTGTGCCACAATAATAGACAGAAACAGTTTTATTAAAATGAATCAGATAATGATAATGATGATGATTAATATTTATTAAAATATTTTATTAAAATTAAAAGTTTTATTAAAATAAGATAATGATAATGATTAAATAATATTAAATAAGTGCCTAATAAATATTAAATTATTTCCCAAAGACTATAAAATTCCCTTTCTTCTGATAACATACTTCTGTATCTCCTGCTTAGATTTACTGATTTTCCTGACTGCAGCAGAGTAAAGATACTCAATTCTGGCTGCATTTTTAAAATAAAGACTGAAGAAGTTTCATTCATCTGATTGAAAAATTCTTTTTCATTTCAAGTGGAAAAATAAATTAAACTTTAAGGAAATAAGGCTTATTTTTTCTTTATACACAACTTAAAAATTATTTCATTTGAAAGTTAACACATAGCTTTTCCTCTACTTCTTCTTTCTTTTTATGAAAAATTCAGTACTAAACCTTTTATGTGGAGCACAGCAAGGAAGGCATTATAGGTGTGGGGCAGGGGCAGCCTGGCATGGGAATTAGAGCCCGGGAAGGGTGGGAAGAGCATCCCCTCAAAGGAAGAGCCTGGCACGTGATGTCAGAGCCAGATCCAAGCCCTCAGCTTACCAAATAATTTCAAGAATTTAACTGAGATGGTGCAGCCTTGTACTATGTGTGGGACAATATTCCATCTCTGTTTTGTGAAGTTCTATGTATTTTTTGTCCTGAATGCGTGTAACCAATGAATGTTTTCAGTAGAGGACGCCATCCGTGTCATGCCATACCTATGTACTGAGAAAGTTGGCTGCAGTTGAGTTCTTGCCTGCAAATACTGTGTGCAATGGTAGAGCCATGGCACTACCTCATGGATGGCCTAGAACAGGTGTATTGTGTTCCTGGGTAGGAAAAAGCAAGCCACGGCTGTGAGTCTGGTGAAATAGGCACTGAGCAGAACATATTAGCCAAATCTGTGGATGTGAAGTATCTACTATTTGCTTACTGCGTGGTGTCAGTAATTCCAACACTATTGAGTATAAAGACCTTAATGGGTGATGCCTTGGCAATAAGGTTGTGATAATTCACCATGAGATGCCTTTTGTTCTTTCCCCAGTTGTAAGAATAGGCCAAATTGGGTTGTTGTATTATTGAGAAATGGAGAAGCAGTGGGGATAGTCACATCTTCTCTAAATAGGTCTTGAATAATGGGTTTCAATCTTTGAAGGCCCTGTTTTAATTTATACTGGGCCCTAGTAACTTTTAACCAGAGATAGTGGGGAGGTTCATGGGCCCCCTTTTTATCAAGCATTTCATAAGTGCCAAAAGACTTAATTAAATTTTAATTTATTACTCATTGGGTCAGAGTTTCCATGCCCATCATGGGATATTTTATAGCAATGGGGGCTATGACTATGTGGAATTTAGGTTAAGGTGAGGCATACCTGTTTGTCTTCTAGTTTATGTTCAGTGACTCCCCTAAGATTATAGAAGATAATCTTGTTTAAATTCATGGGATCCCCAGGTAAAACTGTAATTTGAGCTCCAGTGTTGATTAAGACCATGAAGTTTTGCCACTTGGTGCATCTCAGCAGATATTAAAGTTAATTCAGAACCTATATTATGAGGCGCAAAAGCCAGTCAGTCTCCTTTTATTTTCTTGTTGTATAAATTCTTTTAATACATTTTGTATTCCCAATTGGGACCAAATTAATTGTAGTGGTTCTAATTGTGGACCTTTGTTTCAGGTTTTTGTTTCTCCCACTTGTGTCTCCCTCCGTCCCTTTCTCTCTCTCTCTCTCTTTTATTACTGGATATATTTTGGTGGGAGAGGTGGATCCCCTCTCCCTGCTTATATTTACTGTATAAGTTTCTTCTTTCAGAGTATCAAATTAGTTTTCTCAGGATTAGGGGCTGCCCATGGATGTGGTTGCATTTTTGGATTAAGGCCCCTGGATTAAGTTGGGTTTGAATGAACTCTATGACTGTGCCATGGGTACCACGGGTGATTTTCCTGTAACCATGAGGATCAGGATCATTTTAACAATAAAGGCATAGGCAGTAGTAGCATAAAGACATTTTGTAGGGTCCTGGTGAGCCAGCCATTTTTGAAAGTGTGACCTCAGCATGCCTCATGATGACTGCTCTTTCTCCACACAGTGAAGATGCAGTGGACCCATATATTGCACAGGTAATTGGTCTTTTCCTGGAAGCCTCTATAGAGTAGGAGACAACAGTGGGTTGAGACACACAACCAAAGGTCATAGGGTAATAGTTGTTTTCCAGAGTCTAATGTCAGTCATGGCTTATGCTGGAATCAAGTCAGAGTATTTAAACTGAGATGTACATATAAGTGAAGCCAAGACGTATGACCCAGGGCCACTCTAATGAGGGCCCTAGTCCCATGCTCTGTCCCCAAATGCCAATTATAGAAATTTCTGACTTAGATTGGTTGAATCTAGAACAGACTCTGTAGGACTCAGCAAATGCAAGATGAAGCAGCACAGCCAGTTAGCAAGCTAAAGCAAGAGAAGAAAGACACCCTTATGGTAGTGGTCATTACTCAGACACACTGCTCACAGCACCAATTAATGTTACCCTCCAGAGGTGGGATGGACACCTGCCTTCCCTCTGCCTCTTTGGATGTCAAGAATGATGACATCACACATGCATCAAGAGAGCACGTAAAGATTTATTGCTCATATAATGAAGCTTTTTGGAAGATTAGGGCAGGCTCTTAGGCAGGTCCAAAAATGGCTTGAGAGTGCAGGGAAAGGAGACTGGTTTGTGGTTTATTGTGGTTAAAGGTTAGGGCTGAGGTGAAGGTTCCCACATGTGGGTTGGGGCTTGCGTTGTTTGAACATCCCACCAGTACCAAAAGAGGGAGTTTATCAGCTTACCCAAAAGTAGACTGGAAGGGGAAGAGAGTGTCCTGGAGCTTGAAAACTCTCTGTAGACAAACATCAAAAATTATAGATACAACCACAATTGGAAAGATAGATTTACAAGGAAACATTATATATGACCCTAAGACAATGATTTTGAAAAACTAGAGAAAATGAATTATTTCCTAGGAAAACACTAGTATTGATTCCCCACAAAATATAAAATCATGATGGACCAATCACTGTAGAAGAGATCAGAAAAGTAAAGATCTATCATTACAAAGGCACCAAGCCCAGATAGTTTTACTACTAAGGACTAGCCAACTTGTAAAGATCAGTTAACTCCTAGATGAAACTAATCTAGAATTATAAGATGACAAAAATTACATAAATGCAAAGTCATTGAAGAAAAGGTTACTACCAACCTAATCCAGCAGGATAGTAAAAGAAAAATCACTTCATAGAGTTTATTTCAGGAATCAAAGAATGGTTCAAGATTAGAAATCTAGCAATAGAAATATCCATACTAATGAATTAAAGGAGAGAAACCATCTAATTATTTCAAGTTACTTCAAATATGATAAAATTTAGTAGTTACTCCTTATAAAAACTCTAGGAGTGGATGAAAATAACTGAAACACAGTAGAGATGAATTACCCACAGTCAATAAAAACTACATTAATTGGTGAAATACTTGTGGGCACTTCTATTAGTAATTAAACACTAAATTACTTAGTAATTAGTGCTTGTTTAGAATTCACATTTCTGGTCCCTGGTCCCACCCTTGAGGTTCTTAATCAGAAGGTCTCCAACAGAACAGAGCTCAGTTTTCAAGTAACACTATTACATAGCATTGACTTAAAGATTCTTTATTCTTTAAATCTGCCACTCACAGTATTCTTTCAAGATTAGACACGAATTGGTAATTATTACAGATGACAGCCACTAATGCCAGATTCTTAAGTGGGAAAATGTGAGATGTTAGGTCTCTCTCTCTCTCTTTTTTTTTTTTTTTTTGAGGCAGGTCTTGCTTTGTCATCCAGGCTGGCATGCCGTGGCGTGATCACAGGGTTCACTGCAGCCTCGACCTCCCAGGTTGAAACAAATCCTCCCACCTCAGCCTCCTGAGTAGCACATGCCACCATGCCCAGCTAATTTTATTTTTTGAAGAGATAGGATCTTCCTATATTGCCCAGGCTGGTCTCGAGCTCCTGGGCTCAAGCGATCCTTCTGTCTTGGCCTCCCAAAGTGCTGAGATTACAGGCATGAGCCACTGTGCCTGGCCTGAGATGTTAGGTCTTTATGGGAGAAGCCAAGATGGAGGCGAGATTCGATAGGTCATGAACAAAGACAGAGCAGGTGGATGCTGCGTAGGGTGCAGGAGAATTATGGTCCAGGAGGCAAGTGGGAAGGGATGGCTTTGTGTGGACAAAAAGTAGAGAAATGCAAGAAATACATAGGACAATTTTTAGAAGTCCAATTCAAGAGTCAGAATGGTGGATAGATGACAAAAGGTGGTTGGTACAGCTCTTTTTGCTTCAGGAGTGAATGGTTTGACAAACTTCTTTAAAAATCGTTAAGTTTATCATAGTCGATGCAAATAGTAAATTCATTGCAGTCCAGGGGCTTCTGCTTGGCAATAAATTCCTCTAAAGTTATTTTTGAAGGGATGAGTCTTTGAGCTGTTGCCAAGGCTAGAAACAGTTTCCACTCTTGCTTTGATATCTTTAATGTGCTGACATTCGAATACAATATTTCAGATATGTGGAGAATGCAGGAAGGGATGGGCTGGGTATTGTGGTCACAGGAGTGACTGGATTGGAGCTGATGATACAAATGTGCCACTTCTTTGGGGATTCATGCTTTAGAGCAGTGTTTCTCATGATCCTGCTGTATTAGAACAACCTTAGATATTTCTTGAAAATTGAGCTCTGTTCTGTTGCAGACATTCTCATTAAGAATCTCAAGGGTGGGAGCAGGGACTGGAAATGTGAATTCTAAACAAGTTTCTCAGGTGTGTGTCCTAAGCACCCTCAAGCTTGAGATACTAGGAGAGATAAACAGCAGAGCAAATGTGCTCAGAGTGTTTTTTGTTTAAAATCTTGCTCCTTCACATTGTCTTTTTATTATGCTTTTATGTGATGTGTCTTTTATTCATAAAACACTTTTTATTTTATTATTATTTTTTAATACAGAGTGTCACCATGTTGCCCAGGCTGGTATCTGGCTCCTGAGCTCAAGCTCAGCCTCCCAAGGTGCTAGAATTATAGGCGTGAGCCACCGTGCCCAGCCACAATCTATTTTTGATGATAACAAGGAGTCCAGTTGTGTAATGTTCTTAGTCTGGTATCAAATTTGAAGACATGACTTGTAAACATTTGGCTACTCGACCCACACTGCCATCTAGTGAAATTTGTGTAAATTACAGCCAGCTGTAGCACAAGTACTTTAGCGTTGGGGAGTTTAGGGCTAGGCAATTCATGTATGATGCAAATGAATACACTTTCTGAATAGATGTCCTTTCACAGTGATTAGTCTCACTGTCAGGGGACCACGGCTATTACATTACAACGTTGCTTTGTAAGTATTTAGAATTTATTTGTTGGCTTTTTTCCCCCTTACATATTTTGTATCTGTCTGTTTGTCCATCCTAGTGGAGTTAGTTATAATTTGTTCAGAACATTATGAATAAGAACCCTAAGTACTTTCTAAAAATTTTACCTTTAATAAGTATGAGTTTTCATTGAAGTCAAAGACATTTTGTGAATAATTCTTTAAATACTTTTTGTTAATTTAAAGGGAAAAAAGGAAAAAAAACCCTCATATTAGGACATTTTTGAGAGAATACATACTAGATTTTAAAAAAATTGAAGCATATGAATTAATATTAGCATTTACATATTGTATAAGAAACATATACGTTTTAATAAAATTTACTATACTCTTACAATATTAGTATCAATCTGAAAATCTTCTAATATATGTTAGTAGTAAGTTGAATAAGATATTGAAATATTACAGATCCATAAGCTTAATATTATCTTGTGGTTCATGAGTAAAAACAATTATAGTTATTATTTAAGCTTTGTGAAAATATTCATGTGTATGGTTACATAGTCATATTTACGTATACATAATTATCTTATTACTGTCAAAGTATATGTAATGAAATCACAAATGTACTTCATTACTCTTACATAATTGCAGGTTCAGATATATAGTAACAAAAGTATTTAAGTTTTATAGATAATAAAGTATAATACAATCTTTTTCATAAGACATTTAGACCTAATAGAGATTGCTTTAATGATAGCTTATATTAAGATCTTCAGGTGTGGTGGCTCAAACCTGTAGTCCCAAAACTTTGGGAGGCCGAGGCCAGGGGATCACTTGAGCCAAGACCAGCCTGGGAAAAATAGTGAAACCTCATCTCTACAAAAGATACAGAAATTAGCCGGGTGTGGTGGTGCATGCCTTTAGTTCCAGCTACTAAGGAGGCTGAGGTGGGAGGATCGCTTGAGCCTGGGAGGCCAAGGTTGCAGGGAGTGGTGATGGTACCATTGCACTCCATTCAACCTTGGGCGACAGAATGAGACTTTGTCTCAGAAAAAAAAAATCTGGCTGTGATTAGGTTAACATCAAAAAAGTTCTGGACAAGAAAAAAGGGGTAAAGAGTCTTAACAGGGGTAATGGGATGAATGGTTCTCACTTCTTTATTTCCTTAAAATAGCTGAAATCCCAGGAATTGTATTGTTTTTTCTGATTTTAAAAGGATCACACACTGATGACTTTGTTTTGCTCCCTAGGTTTCCTGACACCTTGAAGATCACTTGGCACATTGTATGTGCTAAATAAATATTAGCTGATGAACCCGGGAGGCGGAGGTTGCAGTGAGCTGAGATCGCGCCACTGCACTCCAGCCAGGGCGACAGAGTGAGACTCCATCTCAAAAATAAATAAATAAATAAATGGATAAATAGTAAAAATATTTAGCTGAATGCATAAACGAATCATAAATGTTCAATATAGAGTGACTCCCTACTTTAATACTGTAGAGATAATCACTGTTAACAATTTGCTGTATATTTCTCTAAATTTTTAAATGCATACGTTAACCTGTATATTATCTTAGAAAAAAAGACTACATTCTATATACTTTTGCAACATTGTCTTTCGCTTAGCAATATCTATGCCAGTAGTAATATCTATATTTACCTCACTTATTGGACATATAGTATTTAATTATATGAAGATGAATAAGTCATCACATATCTAGTCAGCCTTCCTCTGGGATATTTGGTTTACTTCTGGTGTTTTTTATCTCCAAATATAAGCTATGGTGTAACAAACATCTGAGTAAATGTATTTCCATGTACAAAAATCTGTGTGTACAGTTGACCCTTGAACAATGTGGGAGTTAGGAATGCTGATCATCGTCCCCAACCCCGGGTCCCTATGCAGTAGAAAATTCATGTATACCTTTTGACTTCCCAAAAACTTAACTAATGGCCTACTGTTGACTGGAAGCTTTGCTGATAACAGAAACTGTCATTAACACATATTTTGCATGTTGTAGGTATCATCTACTGTACTCTCACAATAAACTAGTGAAAAGAAAATATTAAGAAAATCATAGAGATGAGAAAATATGTTTACTATTCATTAAGTGGAAGTGGATCAGCATAAAGGTCTTCATCCTTATTTTCTTCATGTTGAGTAGGCTGAGGAGGAAGAGAAGGAGGAGAAAGAACTGTTGGTCTTGCTGTCTTGTGGTGGCAGAGGTAGAAGAAAATTCCAGTATAGGTTGACTTGTGCAGTTCAAACCTGAGTTGTTCAAGGGTCAACCGTGTATATGTGTGTTTGTGTGTGTGTGTGTGTATAGATATATGAATATATATGCTATTGTTCAACTAGAGGACATATTCATGAAAGTGGAATTGCTGAGTCAAAGGGAATGTCCATTAAAATTGCTAAATATTGCTAAACTTCCCTCCGAAAGTATGTTAACAGTACAGGAATCCCTTTCCTCCAACACTTTTGTCAAAAGCAAATATAAATTTATCTTAATTGACATAGAAATGAATGGAATGATTATGATTATGATTATGATGAATGACATTTCTAATCTGAATATTCTGTGTTAAGAAAAAAATATCTGATGAGAAGGTGCTTAGCCTACTTTATAGGGATTTATGAAAATAATTTTTCCATGGTGGACTAGCTTTTAAATTTATACTGTGATTAAAGTTCCTTATTATCAAAGTTTTTGGTTGTTCAAGTTTAAACTAATGTAAGTTTGAAAACTCCAAATTATAAAATAATTTGTGGGGCTCACGTTGTTTCAAAGATTACAGTAATTTATTTTGCACATCACTTTTGAAAACCTAAACCTCTCAGTATAAACATAATAACTTTGTAAATAATGTTTAGTTGATCCTTAAGTAGACTATGTAATTTCATGGAGAAAAGTTTTGCATTTTATGAAAATAGAGTAATCATTAAGTAGAAAGGCATCAGTCTCACTTTGCAACCTTATTAAATATCAGTTACGACAGGAACACTTATACTTATTTCTGCTGCTAATTTTTCTAAACATTGGACAAATATATTAAATTGTAAGAAAAAAGGACAGATAAAGTAAGACTTTTTTGGTGTGCTTATTTTCTTGGCCTTGCAGTTTGGTGAGAAGGCGACTGGAATATTTGCATGTTGTATTGCATAATGAGACCAACACAAAATGATTGCAGCTCATGTAAAAGACAGGGTGGCATGTTTTCAGTTTTAATGGGGACACTCAGAAAAGTTCCAATTCTTCCTGACATTTCTTATAGCCAAATAAACGTGGTCTAGGTTGGAGTGTCTATTATGAAAATAAGAGGAGAGCAAGTCAATTATATTTCAATGACTGAATAGCCAGGGGTCCTCATTAAAATGATCAGAAAGATTGCAGTGTTGCTCTCCTCTGTGTAGCCACTGATTAAGTTGTATAAGAATGACATGGCCTTTTGGGGAGCAAGCCAGAGGATGTCTTAGTATCTGGAGCCAGAAATTGTTGACCCTTTTGAGAGAGAAATGTGTGCTACCTTAAAACAGAAAAATATTTTTTCTCTTATTGGATGATGAACTTTGGAATTAGGTATATGAAATTAGTTACGGCTATTGTATAGAAGCTTTAATTTGTGCTATGCTGTAAGAAAAATGCCCTTGAATAAGATAATGATGAAGATACATCTCTTTACATTTATCTCAGTCAGTTAGATCTATTTCACTAGAGTAACGTCTACAATGCAAGTGAATGAGTGTGTTTAAGAAATAGTTTACAAATTCACTACTATTCTTTTCCTTTTAAAATTTCTACTTATCTGTTTGTGTGTATGTGTGTTGGGGGAGGAGATAAAAGTCTTCTGAGGAAAATTATCATTGTTCTTCCTTTTGGACTCACATGCAAAGAGACAATACAGTTTAATATTGTTTTATATAGCAATACAGCTTAAGAAGATCAAACCCATTGCTTAAGAGAACAGCTTGACTTTCATATTTTTTTAACAGGTGAAAATAAAAGCGCCAGATTCTGCAAGGTCTCTGTAGTCAAGATTCCTATGCAACCAAACTCCTCAGTAGGCATCTCGTACATGTTAAGATCGGAAGGCCCGAGAGCCTTCAGTAAGTGGAACTTTTAATACTATATATATATATTTTTTAATGAGAAAAGGCTTACAAAATTTACAACTAGGCTCAAGCTCATTTTATAAAGCAACTGAGTTTTTAGTTTTCTCATAGCAATGAAATGAACTATGATTTTGTTTTCTGACATTGTCTATCTTTTTTCAACCCATCAGTTGTATAAATTGTATTTTAATTGATTACCTATGATTTGCCTAACATTTTAAGAGGAAGATGTCAACATTATAACCATAAACAGCACTAAGACCAAAATATATCAACCTCAGTTGATGTGTTTCAAATAAGTAAAACAAAATTCCATTTAATAGTCACATTAGTTAAAATAATTATTCCAAGATTTCTTTTTGTGCATGTGGTTATACAAACTCTTCTTTTCTCTCTTTCTTTTTTCTAGCTTGACTCTTTAACCCAGTAAAAATACTAAAACCCATTTATTAATCTAGTTGTGGAACAAAAAGGAGAACTGTAGCCAAATTTTATTCTCAATCAGGCTTCATAACATCATTTATAATTAAAATTACCTAATATAAATGTTCTATATTTAATATTATGTTATGAATATCATCATTCCTTATGATGGAGTTGGGGTGGGCAGTTACACATTTCAAGTGATTTAAATGTTTTTAGATTGATTTTCCTGATACTAGTCAATGAAAGTGCAAGTCAGGAATCTTTAATGTTGTAGTGTTATAATTTCACCTTTACTAAATAACCACACTGCAGAGTTGACTGCACTATCAAGCAGGTTTCAAAATAACAGTTTGAGAAAAACAGGGTTATCATGATGCCTTTTTTTTTTCCCCCGGTGGCTATTCTGACATGCAATTCACTGTGAAAGAAAGAATATAATGGGTTGCCGCCTGGATTAAAGGAACCCAATTATGTGCCTCTCAAATACACCACAGAGTTTAGCAGTGCCCAGATTTTATAATAGTATCATTCTGCCCTGTAGTTTTCATCTAATTTATGAAAAATAAATTAGATGAAAATTTGCAAAATGTGTATCCTTTCTGTATTCAAAGGGAATAAAATGTCTATATAAAGCATTAAAGTAGGTTTTCATTTTTATATCTACGTTAAACAGGATCTCGCATGGTATGCAACATCATGTGAGTAAAGGTAAGAGACATGATTTAGTGTTAGACCAGTGCCAGTGTTCACTAGGAAATGTGAGAACTGCCTGGAGAACATATGGGAGAGAGAGATTAGGGAAGTATGTAGCTCCATCACAAAACAACAGCATTTCAGGGGGATAAAATAATACGATGCAGTAACTGTGAATGCATGCATGTTTAGACATTGTAAATATTGTTATGTTGCATTGGTGATGGTTTGTAATCATTGCTGTCTTGTTTACTGCTCCTTTGAGTCATTTTTCCCTTTCAAGCCTACTGTTAGGGATTCTAGTACTCAAAAGTGTGCTGTGGACATCAAAAGGTTGAGAGGCATTGCTCCATGCTATAATTCATTTTCAAGAATAAAAACCAGTTTGAGGGAGAAGGGTTCTTTCATAATGATATAATCAAATAAGTTTTGGAAACAAATAAGTTAAATAGATTTCTGAATTGTGGGATTTCTTAAAGTTTTAAATTTTCTAATGAGCATTTTTATTCTGGGTAAGACATTTAGATTTTCTGAAACATATTTAGCCTTGGATTCCTTTTCTTTTTCTTTTTTCTTTTTTAAGGAACAAGTAGTTTTTGGTATGCAGTTTGGGAGGCTGAAGTGGGCGGGTCAGGAGTTCGAGGCCAGCTTGACCAACATGGTGAAACCCCATCTCTACTAAAAATACAAAAACTAGCTGGGCGTGGTGGTGTGCACCTATAAGCCCAGCTACTCAGGAGGCTGAGGCAGGAGAATCACTTGAACCCAGGAGGTGGAGGCTGCAGTGAGCTGAGATCACACCACTGCATTCCAGCCTGGGCGACAGAGCGAGACTCTGTCTAAAAAAAAAAAAAAAAAGTATCATTAAGTTTATTATCTCAAGTATTTTCAAGTATTTTTAACTGTGTTATTCAGTAGCGTGAAGTATATTTACATAGTTGGAAAGCAGATCTCCAGGACTTTTTCATGTTGCAGAACTGAAGCTCTATACCCATTAAAAATCACTCCTCATTCCCTTCTTCCCAGCTTCTGGTGCCTGGGAAGATTTTTAAACAATACATATCCCAGAGCTTCTCACCTCCAGAGATTCTGATTTAAGTTTTCTGAGGATAAATGTTTTTAAAGATCTTCAGGTAATTCTACTGTACAGCTGGATTTGAGAATGGTTGAATATCACGCTTTTTGTGTGTTTATTTGATTTAATCAAACACACTTATTAAGAGCTGGGGGCTGGGGCTAGAGCAATATATGAGCTACAATCCTTGCTGTCTGGGAACACAGTCCACAGAGGGGACAGACTAGAAGGCAATCAGTATACCTGGTGAGAACTGCCATGGTGGAGCAGTGAATTGGGACCCCAGGTAGCAATGAGGAGGGAGTGACTATCCAGAACAATTTCTCACTGAGCTAATGTTTTGAATAGCCTGGTACTGAATACTGGCAGAGCCTAGAGATGGAATTTAATATACCAGAGCCACTGTACAATTTTAATTCTGAGATGAAGGAAGACTATATTTACAAATAGACTGTATTTACAAATATACTTTGGACACATGTTTTTGACACTAAGTGTTAGACACTCATGGCATTTTCTACTCCTGATACTTTTGTAGGCTTTCTATATATGTGGTTGTTCACTTCTTTCTCAAATTTAAAAACACTTAAATTTTTTATTATTCTTAACGAATTATTCCAACATATACCAATAAGTTCAATTCCATGCTAAGAAATAAACTATGGATATGATTACTAAGTTGAATGAAAACTTACTTGTCTTTGATACAGTTTCTTGAGTTATATAGGTGTTGAAATTGGAAAAAAGGAAGTACTATTCTAACTTAATCTAAAATTTTAATTATCTGTTTTTCCTTTTAATACCTTACTTGGCTTTTAAAGGTAGTATCATATTTCTCTCCAAATGTTAAAGATTTAAAATTTAGGGATAATTTACAACATATGAAATTATGTCCCAAATGTTCTCACTGGGAAACTAATTTATACCATAAAAAGGGGCCATAACTATCTCAAAACAACTCAATTCCAACAATGAGCGTTCCATCTTGGCTATCCTTAGAATAATTGGCCTTTTTGTTGATTTGACTAACTGACAACTGAGCCACTAATAATTACCTATGGCATGCTTTACTTTTGATTTTATATTAGAACACTCTCCTAATGAATGAATGTATAGTACCTTTATACAATCGCATTTGACTGTATTTGAATGCTTTGCTCTTCATCTAGATAATTCTCTATGGAAATATGTTCACACATCAATAACTACAGAGGAGACCTTTTAATTTAATTAAAAGAAAAGCAGCACATCCATGAGACCTCTTTATGGTTAAACAATTGTGACTTAAAATAGTATATTAATTTTATCAATTTACCGGGTTATCATTTTAACTTTATGACAAGCCTTCAGGTTTACTTAGGGGACAGTCACAATCCATAATATTATACTCTTAATAACTTATGCTTTACAGTGTTCTCTAGTATACTGGGAATTCTAACCATTGGGAATCTTTTCTTCATTCGAGATAAGGCTTTTTTGTAGTAATGTTTTCTCAAAAATCATTAGATCCAAACTTAGCCTTGTGGTTGGTCTTAGCTCAATAGAAATGTCCTGCAAAGTAATCTATGGACATATAATATTGGCTAAATCAAAAACGAGGTAAGTTGATTTGAAGAAAAGAAGAAAATATTGGGCTATTACTATTTGTACTGATTTTATTTTATTGTTTTATTTCACCAAATATTATTGTATTTGGGTATTTAATAGCACCTTAATGTTAGTTTGTCACAAGTGATTTTTGTGTTAAGTATGCAATGTTTAAGAAAGGTTGATAACTGGAAAGATATTTTAAATTTTGGTAAATGTATTTTTTAATCAGTTGAGATCTAGCTCCTGACAGACTAACAGTAATGGTAGATATAAGAAGGCAACGATTTTGCAGAAATTCAGATGTTGTAGAGTAGGCACGTAACAAAAGGTAGTATTTGTGAGTAAAAATCACAGAAGGTTCTATATAAATGTCCACCACAATTGTTTTGCCTAGTCTTCCCTCATGAGAGGTCATTTAAAAATTTATTTATCAATCATAATGAAGTGTATACTATTGTTAAGTTTTAAGGTTGTTGAACAGATACTAAATGGTCATGTTTTTTAAAGTTATTATTTGCTAAGAGTATGCACACATTTACAGATTTGTTACAAACGTGATTATATCTATATCTGTATATGTATGTGTAGTAATGTGAGCTTAATATTTTTAGTATGTTATTAGCCTGTGCCTTATGACAACAAGTTTTAAATGTTTATCGTATCATCTTACTACAAAGTTGTCTTTGAAGATGTGTATAACTAGAAAAATTACGGCATTCTTTATACTTATCAAATTTTAGAACTTTAGAACATACAACAATGTTCTCTACATGTATTTTATTGTATTTTATGGTTCATAGGCTCTTGGGGTTGGAAAGAAATTTCCAGTCACCTAATCCAGTGGTTCTCAATTAGGAGTGATTTCCTTCCTCTGGGGGGACATTTGATAATGTCCAGAGACATTTTTGATTGTCGCATCTGAGGGCGTACTACAGGCATTGCGTAGGTAGAGGTCAAGGATGCTGAGAAATAACCTAAAATCTACAGGATAATTCTCATAGCAATTATCCAGCCCAAAATGTCAACTGTGGTGAGATTGAAAAACTCAGACCTAGACTAGCTACCTATCTCTTAAGTAGCTCATCTTTATTATAAAAAAAACTCCAGTATTTAGAAAATCACTATGTCACAGTTATACTAAATACTAGTGGATGTTTATCTGCTTCTTTTCTTAATATTATATATACATATATATATGAAAGTGCAAAAATTGTACCATGCATTTGTTTGAGATGGAAAGCAATAAAATGTCCAAGAAAATGATTCTGGATGAATATTGCTTTTCAAGGTAATCACATTAGAGGAATAAAAACCTATTCTAATTATGCAACTATCTCAAAACATTTCTTCACGTGTCTTTAAACAATTATATAAAGAACACAAAATTGATGAAATAAGTTTCAATAGAAAAATTGGCAATGATTCAATAACTTGTTTAATCAAATTTGGTTGTCAAAAATGCATGGCTTTCTCTAACTCAAATCCTCTTTCAAAAGACTGAGATTTGCCATTATCAAGGAAGAAAAAGTATTCCAAATTATTGTTCCAAAATATTTTCTGCAATTGCAAATCGTTGTAACCAATGTAGCATCTTCAGATAATTCTGTGTAATGCTAACAAAATTTGGATTGTGTAGGTTCCCAATATGGCTTTTAAAAATCTAATTTAATTTTGTACTTTTCATTTGTCCAAATATTCTTTATATAAATACATAAGGCTATTTGTATTTATGTTCATATCCTGTTATATACAAACAAATTTAGTGTTGTTTCATACCTGAAATTTAAAAGTTTTTTTAAAAAAATTACAAATTGTTTGTGAACTCAATATTTATGATCTTTGAAAAAAATGTAATTGTAATGATCTCAAATATTTCATAATTGATGACGGAATTTTTTTCATGGTCATAATCTTAGTTTTGAGCTATGTTCTAGTCCTTATATAATATACAAACAAATATACACAGAAAAAAGAATTTCTTATAGGATACTTGAGAAATAGAGATAAAAATAACAGATGTTAATTTTTAAATTAATTTGATTTATGTCCTTGTGCTTATTGGCAACTTGAACAATATGTTTCTTAAATCTAAAATTGTTTTAAAACTATATTATTTACTAAAATAATCAGATTATGATTGCATATACCGGTGTTCAAATATCCAAGAAATAAATACATCTGAGTCTTCTGTCTTATAAACCAAGATATAAATTCTTGAGTTGGAGATGAGTATTAGGAGCATGCCAATTGTTACACAGTGATCATTGAATTTGGTATCTGAATGTGAATACATTTTTTACTTTTTATTAGTATGTTCTGGCCTTGAATAACAGCTTGTGAGTTTTTTGCTGACTTTCTAGAGGAAAAAATTCTGTTATAGTGTTAATAGGAAATTGAATAATTTAAAAATAACATAAGATCAGTATCTGAATATACTGTATGCATGCACGTGTTAAATCTAAATGTGAATGTTATCATCTTATCATAGTCTTCTTGGTTTTACATCTAAAATTCAAAAAATAGTAAAATGATTTTAAGCTCCATTAGTGTATGGTAATTTATATCTAGGATTATCTAACTATATAGGTTTTAGACTTTAGCACATCTATATATTAAGAATTCTTAACAGGGAAATAAGTATGAAAGAGACATGAAATGAATATACTTTTGTTTACATAAAATAAGCGCAATAAACTCTTCATGAAGTTTAAGTACAAATGCATATTTTTGTTTCTAATATTTGTTAACAGGGATATATATAGAAATTCTTGGTATTAAACTGTAGTATAGCAATTTGAAATAAAAATATGAGATATCACAACAAAAATTTTTATGAAAATTGTCTTTGAGATAAAGATACTAATGAATTGGTAATGTAAAATGAAACTATCTGTAAGTGTACAGAAAGTCAAACTAAGCAGTTTTTTGATATATTTTCTTAAAATCTCAGGCAGTTTTAACCCTTCCATGGGAATATCGATATAAAAAATGGCAAATTAGAATGAATGTAGCAGTTTTGATTTTGGTGTGTGGAGTTGTTTTAGGAAAAAAATAGAAAGGTTGATGGAGAGAAAACTGACAAATTATTAAATAAAATGTTAAAATCTCCAGATTATTGTGAACATTCAAAGTCCAAGTGGAAACAGAATTAAATCTCTGGATGGTCAGTTAAATCATTGTCTTGTGGGCCAATAACATATGTGGGCTGAGTAGTTTTTTTTTTCCACTGGTTGTAGGTAAATAAGATGAAAGGCAAAAATTGTACCATAATTATTTTCAAGCAACTGAGATATTTGGAGTCAGAATCCAGAATGATCACATTTTTCACTTTACATCAACATGCTTTTCTTCTAGTATAGACACATATATTCTTTGAATGTCTACCATGACTTACTTTTATCGTGAAGCCTTGAATTTGGAAAATGAGAGACAATTGTGGAATTATAGAAACATTAACATTATATGGACTATGCTAACAGTAATCAAGCAAAGCAACTTTGGAAATAACTATTAAAGTGGTATATCAGAAATTGACTTAAAATATTTGTAAGAAAACGTAATATATCCACTTCAGCTTTCTTGATTATGTTCCATTGGTGCACTAATGATCACTTTCCAAAAGCAGTAGAGGAGCCTTCACTTGCTCCTTTTGTGATAGCCGATCATTTATTTCATTCATCTGTAAATCTACTTACGTCAATATCTACAGGTCAGAAGTTGGCTCTCACAGTGTATTAATGTATATTTGTATTTCTAACAACATCATTATATGTGATCATTGTGAAATAAGGAAATGTCATATTTATTCTCCAAATATGTACTATTAATATCAAGGGCTTACAAGAGACGACCATTTTGAGATTTATCCTCTTTCCAGAAAACACACACACACACACACACACACACACACACACACACACACACACACACGATAGAAAATTAAGGTCACTTTTGCATTTCCTAAAAATGAAATATCTAGATTTTCAAAACAACAAAAATCCAACTTTTTATATTTAAAACTACAGAAATCATAGGGCAATGTATTTTCAGAGTTTTAAAGAGCCTGATCCAGTCCCCTATCTGGTGTTTTATCCCCGCAACAACCCTACAAGTGAGAGGTTGTCTGGTCTTTGCTTGAACATTGCTCATGAAAAGGAATTCACAAATTCCTAATTGCAGATCATTTCATTTTGGGGCACTTATTTATAAATTTTTTGGACTGAATCAAATATTATTGAAATATTAAGCATGCACTCTTAAGACGTTAACATTTTTTAGGCAAAGGAAGTCCTGAGTGAGTGAATGTGATGTATTTTCACATATGAAAACACCAGGCAATCAGGGTACCAGTCATAATTTCCATTTCCAGGAGGCCCATGAAGGATTTCTATCTAGTCTGAGTTATTTTTCTGAACAGAGTTGTAGAAATAGCATAACATTTTTGTGTACTTCATGCTTCTGCTCTTATTTGTGAGAGTTATCTGACAATTTAATAAAAGTGTAAACATTAATTTATGGTGGATCACATTGTTGCCTTGTTTTCAATGATTTGTATCTTAAACACAACATATGACACATTTGCTCACAATTTTAAACAAAATTCAAATTCCTTGCACATAGCTTGATAATTTATGTGAGCATTACACAAATTTTCACATTTATACATTTTAATGTAAATGTAGAGAATTTTGAAATACTATCGTGAAACATTACTTTTTTTACCTTTATATCCTCACACCAAGAGATTATTTTATGCTAAATGTATATCTACTCCCTTAATCAAAATTCATTTTCTATAGTAAAGGGAATTCAGAAATTTGATCCCTGTGTTATTAGATACATCGGAATACCTTGACATATAATTTTATGGGCAAAACTGTATATACAAATCAAATAACATCTGTATGTTCTTTTTACTAGCAGCATTGATTACTGTGAAGAGAAGGAATACACACCTTGAGGAATATTTGCATGCACTAATGCATCTTTATCTACACACTGGCTCTTGCACTGCTATACAGCTGCAACTGCGTTGTGGCATAACAAAGGTGTTCAATGTTGAACATTTTGATTCATCTTTCTCCTTTTTTCCCCTTCACATTTGGTTGTATAAAGCCTTTTGTTTCATCGGTTGATCTAAACTTAACTTGTTACTTAGAGGACAAGAAATTTGGCTCTTTATTGAAGAACATCTATATGTGGGTATTATTAGTTTCCCTTAGAAAAATTGATCTCTGTTGGGTTAATGTGTTTAGTATACTGTAGCATATGGTGGTATCAAAGCAAAACTAAAATTAAAATATCAATACAAAAAATGGTGCAAGAGGCACAGAGATAGATGGTTGTATTAAACTTGGGATTCATTATCAAACTGCATCAAAGAATATGCGCATAGCAGTGTGATACCAGCATAGCAGTGTGATACCAGCATAGCACAGGGAAGGCAAACAGTAAAAATTTCAAACCTCAGATTTTTTTCACCGGGTATATCTAGAAAACGGCAATGAATTTTCATGAATCTCTTCTATTTGTCATTTAAACAAGACAGTTCTTGTAATTCTTGCCATTCTATTTAAGGTAAAGTAAGATTTAGAAAAGGATATAATATTTTTATTTTCCCAACTTTTTTATTTTGAAAAATATCAAATATAAAGAATAGTAGAATGAACACCTGTATTCACCTAAATTTAACAATTGTTAACATTTTGCCACATTTGAGCACTGTCATTGTCTTTTTCTCTGTTTCTTTCTCTCTCCCTTCTGTTTCTTTCTCTTCCCCGACCTGTATAAAATATATGTTTACATATAACTTTTTGCTGAACCATTTAAAAGTAATAGATATTGTGACATTTGGTCTTTTCAGAATAATAACATTCTCCTGAAGAACCTAAAAATTATACTTAAGAAATGAACAATAATTCCATAAAACAATCTATTTCCTATTTTAATTTCCCTAGTTGCCTCCAAAATACCTTTTATAGCTATTTTTATTTTTTCCTGATCCAAGGTACAATCAAGACTCATGCATTGCAAGGATAAATTTTTTTTTCCCTAAGTGATCTTCATTGGGAGAAGTAAAACAATTTTATGTTAAACTCTAAGTGAGGTGATATTTTGTTCTCAGATTTTGAACTAATTATACATTTGTATCTTGATTTTTATAATACTGTGTGACCTTTGACAATATACCAAAATTTTACTATTTTTCGTAACATCTTTGGACTGAGCACAAAATTACCCAGCAGAAGGGTGACGCATATGGAGCTGATCACAGAACAGTGGCTTAATAGAATTAGTCGTGTGACCTGCCAGAAGTTGACCTCATTTCAGAATTCCATTGGAGCACGATACATCCAATTCCACACAGAATATGGAAAACATGCTAACATTCATGGTAGGTCTTATTTTGACTTTGATTTAAATAATCGAGTATAATGATTCTATACCTTTCCAAATATTTCTGCTGGCATTAATACATGCAAAAAAGAGAAATTGTTAAATATAAGTCTGAAATTGCGTTAATTTTATAATTAACTTAGCTACAATGTTTGGGTACTGTTCTCCCAGGGATATTATGAAAAAACCTACAGTACCTTCTACGTTCCTAATCTCAGTTGCCTTTGCACCCCACTTCCACAAACATGCCCTCAGCATGATGGTCGTGAGGAGCATGTTAGTGTAAAAGTTTGAATTTCTTTGTGAGAAAGCCATTTTCATTTTTCAAGTCCGTTTCTGCCCCTCAACAACTATGTTGAATGCTGCTTCTTTCATGACCATGGGTATGGTGTAATTTTGCCTTCCTGTGAACTTGCATAGAAAGTGATCTTTATATCTGTTAGGGCCCCATCACATCCTCTCCCAATTATTTCCACAGACATCATCATGCTTTTATCATGTTCCCTGCTCTCATCTCCCACATTGCCTAGTAAGGAATGAAGTCACTGAGTACCTACTGTGAGCTGCTCTCTGCTGGGACTTGTATGCATCGTCTTATTTAATTCTGATAACAGTCTTATGTGATGTTATCATCCCCATTTTATAGGTAAAGAAACAGGAATGGAGAGGTGAAGTGGTTTGCTGAAGATTGTATGTAGAGCTGATTAGCGGTGCAAACAATTTGAACTCACATCTCTTTGACCTGACCAACTTTCATATTCTTTCCATCATAAAAATTTGCCTAGGCCAAGGCCTTACCTATAACTGGTGCTCAGAAAAACTGATGGAAGTAACTGACAGTTGAATTTTCCCTTGACTTTTTTTTTCTGATTGCCTTACTCTGACTCACAGCTAATAAAGCAACTATCTCCAAATCTGAAGAGAGGCAGCAAAGGAGACAGGCCTGGCAGGCACTGCTGTCTTGTGTTCCTCACTAGAAGAAGGCATGACTTGTTTTCAGGGCACTGAGAACAAGAAATGCAGCGCTCTTTTTGCCTGCTCTAGATGCCAGGCCTCTGGCAGCCAAGCAACTATTTGCTCAGTAAAGATGGTTTGTGGACCCAGGCTATTAATTCTCTGAACTAATCACTGAGCCAAATAGAGCCTTAATAACACCTTCTATTTGTATTTCCCTTATAGCTGGCAGCATACTTTCATACACATTATCTCTCTGGACCCTCACAACAGCCCTCAATGAGTCAAAAGAGTAGCTAATTAGGCTACTTTGTGTTTCTCAATTGATAATGCCTGAGCTCATCAAAAGTTTGTGACTGTCATTGTGAGATCATGATTGCTTTACACCCTGCATGTCTTATAGGAGAAAATTAATAACTTGAAATCACATAGGACAACAATAACACTGAAAACAACTATAAATCTAGTTTTTGATGTTTCCTTCCCCTAAATAACTAGAATACTGCTTTGGCCAAATCTTGGATTTTTTTCCCCTGCTTTTCACTTTCCAAAGATCTGTCTTTACCACTCATCTAAATTATTACTCAGGCTCTCAAATATTTTGACTGGTTTCCAACTGGACCTGAGCCTATATCCAACAATTGAATATAGTTATCCATCGCTTAGTGAAGGGGATACATTCTGGAAAGTTCATCATTAGATTATTTCATCATTGTGTGATAATCATAGAGTGTAACTAACACAAACGTAGATGGTATAGTCTACTATACACCTGGGCCATATGGTCTAGCCTATTGCTGCTAGGCTGCAAACCTGTACAGCATGCGGCCTACTGTACTGAACACTGTAAGCAGTTGTAGCCCAGTGGTATTTGTATATCTAAACATACCTGAATGTGGAAAAGGTATGGTAAAGATACAGTATTATAATCTTATGAGACCACCATCATATGTGTGGTCTGTCATTGACTGAAGCATTGTTATAGGCACAAGACTGGATCTTTGAAGAGTATCCTTGATGTCCATTTCATCACCTCCATTCTCTCCCTGGACCATACCATTTTGACTTTTGCACCATCACCCACTGAACTTTTTCAGTGTCTACCTGATTTCCAGGACCAATTGTGTCTGCTCTTGCTCTATCCTGTTTGAGTATTCCATAGCATTTGACATTTTTGATTACCCTTTGATTCTTAAAACTCTCTTTAGTTTCTGGAACACAACTTACCAGTGTTTCTTTTTGACCATTCTTATTTTTTCACAAGTTCCTTCGTTGGCTCCCTTTTTAATCCCTGCACCTGGGAATAGATGTTGGTATTTCCCAGGATTTTATTCTAGGATTTGGTCTCAATTTTATATCTTTTTTGGAGAACTCTTACTCATACTAATTACTTCAGTTAATACCTATGCTGATTACCTTCAACTATTTATGTATGTGTGTATACATATATGTTAGACTCTTGTTTGTCATTTAATTTATTTAATCATGAGGATGTTGGTTATGGATATAACTGCTAGGATACAGGAGTACATAAGAAAGACATGGTTTTTCCTTTCACAGATCATAGTGGGAGGAGACAGTTAAGGAGACAGAAATAATAAATGCTACAAACAAACATATAAGAAATATCTGCTAGTGACAAGTACTGTAAATAAAATATAGTGGAATGATATGATAGGGAGTGAGTGAGGCAAATTTACAAAGGTTAGAAAGAGCCTCTTTGAGGAGATGATAGTTAATCTGAGACTTGAATTGCAAAAAGGAGCTAGACAGGCAAAAATTGGGGGTAAGAATGTCTAAATTTTAGGAGATGGCTAGTGTAAAAATCTTGAGGCAGAAATGATTTGGTGTGTTTAAGGAACAGAATGTAAGGCCCCTATGGCTGGAGCATAGTGAGCTAGGAGGAAACAGTAAGGCTGAGGTTGCCAAAGTAGGCAGGGGCTAGATCAAGCTAAGAAGAAGAAGTATTGGAGAGTTTCATAGAAATTTGACATTACTGTCATATTTTATCATAGTTTACAAAAGTATCAGTTATAGTAAATTACAGAAAAAAACCCTGATTCTTTAACACAACTATTTTGAGAAGCACTGTTCTAGTAGATGCTTTTTTTTTTTTTGAAATCATTTGTTTATTTGTCTGTATGCTCCACTTGACTGAATTTTGCATTTTTCTTTTTTTTAAAATTATACTTTAAGTTCTAGGGTACATGTGCACAACGTGCAGGTTTGTTACATATGTATACATGTGCTATGTTGGTGTGCTGCACCCATTAACTCATCATTTACATTAGATATATCTCCTAATGCTATCCCTTCCCCCTCCCGCCACCCCAGGACAGGCCCCGGTGTGTGATGTTCCCCACCCTGTGTCCAAGTGTTCTCATTGTTCAATTCCCACCTATGAGTGAGAACATATGGTGTTTGGTTTTTTGTCCTTGCGATAGTTTGCTGAGAATGGTGGTTTCCAGCTTCATCCATGTCCCTACAAAGGACATGAACTCATCCTTTTTTATGGTTGCATAGTATTCCATGGTGTATATGTGCCACATTTTCTCAATCCAGTCTATCATTGTTGGACGTTTGGGTTGCTTCCAAGTCTTTGCTATTGTGAATAGTGCCGCAGTAAACATATGTGTGCATGTGTCTTTAAGGCAGCATGATTCATACTCCTTTGGGTATATACCCAGTAATGGGATGGCTGGGCCAAATGGTATTTCTAGTTCTAGATCCCTGAGGAATCGCCACACTGTCTTCCACAATGGTTGAACTAGTTTACAGTCCCACCAACAGTGTAAAAGCATTCCTATTTCTCCACATCCTCTCCAGCACCTGTTTTCCTGACTTTTTAATGATCACCATTCTAACTGGTGTGAGATGGTATCTCATTGTGGTTTTGATTTGCATTTCTCTGATGGCCAGTGATGATGAGCATTTTTTCATGTGTCTGTTGGCTGCATAAATGTTTTCTTTTGAGAAGTGTCTGTTCATATCCTTTGCCTACTTTTTGATGGGGTTGTTTGATTTTTTTGTGTAAATTTGTTTAAGTTCTTTGTAGATTCTGGATATTAGCCCTTTGTCAGATGGGTACATTGTAAAAATTTTCTCCCATTCTTAAGTTGCCTGTTCACTCTGATGGTAGCTTCTTTTGCTGTGCAGAAGCTCTTTAGTTTAATTAGATCAGTAGAAGCTTTTATTAAGACAAAAGGGCTTCTAAAATATGTAAGAGTATGGTGCTATATCAGCCTGATGTGCCCAGAGTACAAAACATTAGGTTTAGAGGGAGAAATATCCATCTTGAAAAGGACTGTGAATTCACACAATCCTTTTGGCACATGGAGTTGAATGGAATCAAATATATAGAAAACCCACAGTATTTCTGAGATATTTGTATTAGCAAAATCATGTTAGTAGTCTCTGGACTAAAAGAAGCCAATACTGTTAGAGATGTGTCCCCAGCATTCTACAAGCAGGATGCTCAGCTGCTCAAAAAGTACATATTCTCCAGTTCCCTACTCAGGATTTTCCAAGGAGGATATGGAAAAGAATGGACTGTCTGTCAGTGCCATAGAAAACAAAAGACTAAGGAGCCACTCAGAGGCAGAATTGAGTCTAATCGAGAAATATTCTCAACCTTCAAGATAAGTAAACCAGACATTCGCCAAGTGGTATGTCAGAATTTTTATTGTCTAGTGATTGCTATGTACTTTCTACTCTTCCTGTTTCAAAATGGTTGGGAGGATTCATGTGGTATGTAGGTCTTCTATTGTATATAAAGTGTGTGAAAAAGAAAACTCGTCTTTGTAATTCATAGCTCTCCAGAGCAAGAGAAACTGCAACTGATGATGTAAATCTTTATTTCTGAGCCTGATGTTGTAATTTTGATGAAATCTTGGAAGGTCTTGGATGTTGCGGAATGTATTTCATATGTGGGAAGAGCATAAAACACATGAAAAAGAGGTTGGACTTTAGTAGATAACTATTACAGTAATTCAAAAATGTCCACTCCATGTCCACCAGTGCCATAGGAGAAATGTCCTTCCCCATTTCTTGACTTTGGGCTCAGCATGACTGGCTTTGGCCAATGAGATGTTAGCTGATATGACACAAAAAAAGGGTTTGAAATGCCCTTGTATGTCTCTGCTGTTGTGCTCAGAAGAGCTTCCTTTGAGTAGGTAGCTGCTGCCCCTTCATTGTGGAGCTCTGAAAAGTACATGTGATACAGGCCACAGCCCAAGTGGTCTAGTGGAGGAAATGATGCTTCTCTCACTCACACTTGAAGTTCTTTGCCAGGCTTATTATAATATAAAAATTATGCTAATAAACCTCATAATATTTTCATAATAATAAAACTCCCAAGAAGCTTATAAAATACATAATTATAAAGAACAGTTTGAAATATGGATTCACATCTGCCAATAGTAAGATGGACCTTGACCTAAGTACAGAGTGCTCCTTAAGATATTAGCTAAATATAAGTTTCATAACTTTATTGAGGTGTAATTGGCATAAAATTAACTGCACATATTAACCGTATAAGTTGATAAATTTTGAGCTGTGTACAAACCTGTGAAACATCATTATAATCATGCTAATTAATATGTCCCTCACCCCAAAAAGTTTCCTCATGCTGCTTGTTATCCCTCCCCTTCACCTTTCCCTGCCCAAGCTCCATGCTGAGGCAACAACTCATCACTTTCTGTCAGTGTAGATATTTGTGCCTATATAGTTCCCTAGAACTTATATGAATGGAATCATACAGTACTCTTTTTCTGGCTTCTTTCACTCAGCATAATTATATTAAAATTCATCCACTTCATTGTATGTATCAAAAGGTCATTCTTTTTATTGCTGAGTAGTATTTTGTTTTATAGATATATAATAATTTGTTCATTTACTTATTGATAGACATTTGACTTGTTTCCAGTTTTGGTCTATTACAAATAAAACTGCTGTGAATATTCATGTGCAAGTCTTTGTATATACTCCTTTTCTCTTGGGTAAATAACCTAGAAGTAAAATTTCTGGATCATATGGAAGGTGGTGTTTAGCTTTTAAAGAAACTGTTTTCCAAAGTGGTTGTACCATTTTACATTCTTGACAGTAGTATATGAAAATTTCCATGTCTTTTCCAATATTTGACATGGTCTTTTTAATTTTAACTATTCTAATAGGTATATAGTGATATCTCATGTGGTTTTAATTTGAATTTCCTTCATGTCTAATTTGTTAAACATGAGCTTAGTTGCCATCTATATGTCTTTCTTTGGTGAAGTGTTAAAATCTTTTGGCCATTTAAAAATTCAGTTGTTTATATTCTTATTATTAAGTTTGGAGAGTTATTTGTTCTCAATATAAATCATTCATTAGATATGTATTTTCCAAATATATTCTCCCAGTCTGTAGCTCTTCTTTTCATTCTCTTGACATTTTTTGAAGTTTTTAATTTTGACGAAGTCCAGTTTGTCCATTTTTCTTTTATGGATCATGGTTTTGGTGTTTTATTTAAAAAATGCCCAGACTAAGGTCACATGATTTTTCCCATTTTTTATTTTTAGTAGAAATTTTACAGTTTAAGGTTTTTGTATTTAGGTCTATAATCTGTAAGAGACTTAAGCACCTATATGTTGTGAGGTATGAATAAATATGGATTAAATTTTATTTTTTGCATGCAGATATCCAATTGTTCTATTACCATTTGTTGAAAGGACTATCCTTTTACCACTGCATTTTTCTGGCATTTTTGTAAAAAATTAATTGTTCACATAGGCATAGGTCTATTTTATTTCATTGGTCTATTTGTCTATCTTTACACTATTTTGGCTATTGTTGTAGTAAGTCTTGAAATTGGTCATATTAGTTCTCCAATATTGTTCGTTTTCAAAG